>NW_025791807.1:0-166877 GCF_000001405.40 Homo sapiens
TTCAGGCAGAGCCTGTCTCCAGGGACTAGGCTTGGGCATTTGGGATGAGCCCTGGGGGACGGCCGCTCTGTAGTCAGGTTTGAGGTAGAGGACACGCCAGGAAGAAGGGCTGACTCCATGCACAAGGTTTGCTGGGGGTCCCATCAGGGGCAGGAAGCCTTGGGGAGCCTCACCCTCTTCTACTGAAGGCGCCACACACACATTCTCTGCTCTCTGGGCTCTCACAGATCCATTTTCAATGTCAATCTCCCAGACAGTCTCTGTACTAGTGAGCAGGAGCCAGCGGGCATGGGCAGGGTACAAGAGATCCTTCAGGGACATCAAGAGTTGCTCAGGGACCACCAGGAGCTGCACATTGAGGAGGCTGAGTCGCAGGGCTCCCTGTGGGTCCAGCCCCAGGAACTCCTGCCCCAGGCGCAGGTGCAGGACCATTCCTGGTTCCAAGACCGCGATGATCATCTTCCTCTGGGGAAGCTGTGGGCCCTGGGGGAGAAAAGCCGTGGGTCAGTCATTGTCCTCTGAGGGTGGCTCAAACAGGGAGAGAGCAAGGCGGGGAGCTGCCAGTAACTTCCCCAGGCATAAATGAAACCCCGCAGGGACACCCAGAATTGGCACCTGTATTGACGCCCCTTGGGACGGTGATTTCCTGCAAGTCCCCTAGGGCCTGGAGCTCAGGCAGACCTGTCTCACCCACGCCCACCTAGGTGGTGTGACCTTACCTGGGGCAGCTCCAGGGGCAGCTGTGCAGGGTGGTGGGGAGCTGGCTGTACCGGAGCTGGTTCTGCACCTGTGGAGAGAGCAGAGTGTGCAGGTGAAAGCCCTTGTCATGCAGGATGCCCTTGAGGGTTCAAGGTGCCACCGTGAGAAAGACCAAATACAGAAGAAGCCAGGTACAGGACACCCAGCCACGGAGCTGCAGGAGGAAGCTCCCGACACTCTGGACAGCACAGCTGCTCGCCTCATGACGTGACGGGACACTGGCTTGGTAGCAGGGGACTCAGGATGAAAAAGAGAAGATGCCTCACCTGGATGAGGACCCAGCTCCTCCACTTTCTGGCGTTTTGGGGCATTTGATGGCGTGCCGCTGGAGCTGTAGGACAGAGAGAGAGACACAGTCAGATTTCGGGCAGTTCCCTAACGTCCAATTCCCTGAATCCCCACAAATTCACTCCACTTCCCTGCCTTTCATTCAAGGCCACAGACTCGTCATCCACTTCCTGTGAGACCTGCTCCCAATCTGTCCTAACTCCCAGCTGTTCTTGTTCTCACCCCATCTACCTGAGCTTCCCTGGGTGAAGAAAAGGCAGGGAAGGAGGGTCGGTGCCCACAGGGAGCAGTTTACCCTTTCAGGAGCTCATGCAGATGAGAGTTGGAAAACTCTCCTTGGGTGTGAGGAGCTGGAGAAAGATGTTGAGATCCCGGAGAGGTGGCACCTCTGTCTACACAGGTAACAAAGGAATGGGGTCTTAGGATTCGAATCACAGCAGGAGAAGAGGAAGGAATTTGTCGGGCATGACGGCATGCGCCTGTAATCCCAGCACTTTGGGAGGCCAAGGTCGGAGGATTGCTTGAGTCCAGGAGTTTGAGAGCAGCCTGGGCAACATGGTGAAAGCTAGTCTCCACTAAAAATACTAAACATTAGTGGGTCATGGTGGTGCATGCCTGTGGTCTCACCTACTCAGGAGGCTCAGGTGGGAGGATCACCTGCGACTCAGAGGTGGAGCCCGCAGTCAGCTAAAATCACGCCACTGCACTCCAGTGTGGACCATCGGAGTGAGACGCTGTCTCAATAAAATAAATCAGTAAATAAGACAAATAGAAAAATTAAAAATGAAAAAAGGAGGAAACTGTTTTATTTTTCCTAGTAGATCTTGAAACTCTCACATCATGTCCTACAATCTCCCTTCTTGCAGAACACAGAACCCATTCCCTGTGGAGCTGGTTGGGTGGATTGAAAGTGGGGCTGCCCTGAGATATGTGTGTGGTTGCGATGTAGAAGCCTTCCCAGCACCCTGTGATGACTTACGGGCACCTCACTTCCCTCTGGCCCCAAATTCAAAACATCCAATCTCATGGCAGGTTCATGCACCCTTTTCCCTTCCCCTCTCTCCAACACACACCCACACATCCCACAGGCAGGTCACCCCGCAGGCGTCCCCAGCACATAGCAAAGCTCACCCGCTCTCTCCTGCGTGGTCGCTCTTGGATTCGGTGCAGGAATCACTGGGGCTTCTTGGGCGCCGGGAACCTTTCATGGTGAAAATTTCCAGGGTTCTCCAAGTCAGCCACTGCCAGTGTTTGTCTGTCTCCTGCAAAGATTTCTTCTTGGCTCCCGAATCCTTTAGTTCCTTTGAGAGAGTGGTGTCAGCCCCAAAGCTGCTCCCGAAGGCTTGGGATGTGTAGCGACGGGGCTGTGGCCAGCGGCAGGTGGATGAGGCTCTGACAACTGAGCTCTTGGGGGAATCTTGTACACTGTCAGCAGGGGGTGGAGCCAGGGGATTTGTCAGCAGGAACTGATGTGATTGGCTGTTCCTGGTATGACAACGGGAGGGGCCCTCATGGAGGATTGGGGCGTAACTCAATCCATAGATGACCGATCAACAGAACCTGCCTAATCCCATCAAGAGCCAACCTGTTTCCTGTCCCCTCCCATCCTCTAGGTCTTGCCTAATAATGATAGACACTTTCTGTCATACCCAATTCATCCATCGCTGAAATAGTTTTTCATGTGTGCCTTTTATATTTTCATGCAATAAAAATATGTTAATTTTCACGGTGGCTATCCTGGGGAATGCTATGTACATGAAATGAAGTGTCAAAGGAGCAGAAGCAGAAGGAAATTCACAAGCTTCTCTGAGCGTCTCTGCTTCAATTCCTGCCATGTTTCCTAAACATGTTGGCTTCTTTCTTCCTACCCAAGTAAGAAGGTGCTTCAGAAGTTCAATCTTAGGGCATTTGACAAACGCCGCTGAGAATTTCAGGATGACACGAAGGAACCTTTGATTGGATTTGTGGATGTGCCTGTGAAAGCGTGTGTGTGTGTGTGTGTGTGTGTGTGTGTGTGTGTGTGTGTGTGAAGCCAGGATGAAGTGGCTGTTCCTGGGGTGGAGACCCTTCTTTCTCTTGAGAATGTTCATTGCTGTTGACTCATTGTGGGTTTTGGAGATATTTTCTCTCTTTCTTTCGTTCTTTCAGACATTTTTTGCTTTCTCCCTCCCTCGATCCTAACCCCCCTCCATCCCCCCCTCACTCCCTCCCTCCCTCTTTCCATCCTTCCTCCCTCCCTTCCCTCTTTCCTTCCTTCCTGCCTTCTTCCCTTCCCCTTCCCCTCTTCCACGCCTGTAATCCCAGCACAATGGCATGCCGAGGCGGGTCAATCACCTGTAGTCGGGAGGTGGAGATCACCCTGACCAACATGGAGAAACCCGACTCTACTAAAAATACAAATCAGCCTGTCATAGAGGCACATGCCTTTAATCCCAGCTACTCGGGAGGCTGAGGCAGGAGAATCACTTGAACCTAGGAGGCAGAGGTTGCGGTGAGCCGAGATCGCGCCATTGCACTCCAGCCTGGGCAACAAAAGCTAAATTCTATATCAAAAAATTAAAAAAAAAAAAAAGAAGGCTGTTTGTTGACCATTTGAGTGGCCAGTCTTGGTGCTTCCTGGTGGGCGAGGAGAGCCCTGCCCCATTCCTACCCATTCCAGTAGTCATGGCATAAGAGTGATTCTCACTTTCTGCTATAGCCTCCTTATCCATTGGCTGAAATGATTGTTTTTTAATGTGTCTTATAAATGCTTCCATAGCAAAAAAAATTGAATTGACTTTTATAGGGACTCTTTCGGGTATTGTTACCCATCATTCTATAATTTGTTTGTACTCCTAGAAAAGGGAAGTATGCCGAGCACAGTGGATATTTCGTCTCAAATAACAAATAAATAACCAAATAGAAAAGAAAGAAAAGGAAGTAAAGGGAAATATACAAATATACAAGGTGTTAGGAGAGAGTTGCTAATCGTGATTCCCCCTTAATTGTCCAAACAGACCACCTCTGGGGATCTATTCGTAAAAGACTCGTTAGAAGTGCAGACTCATGCATTTGAGAATCACTCAGGGAAATCTGAAGATGACCTGTGGTGGGGGTGTAAATGGATACTTAAATGTGTCTTGTGATTGTGTGAGAGTGTGACTGTGTGTTTGTGTGTGTGCTGTCATCTGTGGAGTGGGGGATCCTCTTTTGCCTTGAGAAAGCTCATCTCTGTCCACTTACTCTGGGCTCTACCATCTGTGCCTTGTATCCAGTAGAAATAAAACAGTTTGCGGCAGAAATGGAGTTTTATTTTATTTTACTTTACTTTTTATTAGGATTATTTGTAGACCGGGTCTCACTCTGTCACTCAGGCTGGAGTGCAACGGCACGATCTCAGATCACTGCAACCTGTGCCTCCTGCACTGAAGCCATCCTCCCACCTCAGCCTCTGGAGTGGGGAGATCCCACACCTGTGTAATTTTTGCATTTTTTCTAGAGATGGGGTTTCCTCATGCTGCCCGGGCTGGTTTCCAACGCCCGGGCTCAAGTGATCCACCCGCCTCAGCCTCCCAAAGTGCTGGGATTACAGGTGGGAGCTACTGTGCCCGGCCAGAAATGGAGATTTTTGTTCTTCTTTTGATGAGACGGAACCTCGCACCGTGGCCCAGGCTGGAGTGCAGTGGAGTGACCTCGGCTCACTGCAAGCTCTGCCTCCTGAGGTCATGCCATTCTCCTGCCTCAGCCTCCCAAAGAGCTGGGACTACAGGCGCCCGACACCACGCCCAGCTAAGGTTTTTGCATTTATTTTTTTTTTTTTTGTAGGGACGGGCTTTCACCGTGTTAGCCAGGACGGTCTCGATCTCCTGCCCTCGTGATGCACCCGCCTGAGCCTCCCGAAGTGCTCGGATTACAGGCATGAGCCACCATGCACGGCCCAGAAATGGAGATTTTTGAGCAAACACATTAAAGAAAAGAAACGCAAATAGACGAAACTCATTTTAACATTTTTATTTAACCCAAGGAATACAGATATAATCAACACCAATACAATTGATGTCACAGTGATGACTAAGATACATGCTACAATCCTTCATTCTCAGATGCAAAATCTAGTATGTGTTTTACAGCAAACGTCAGTTGGAAACTGAACGTCGATCACACATGCTTGATGTGCATGTCAATTTCATGAGAGTTACAATCTCAGGAGAAGTCTCACATAGCGTAAGAGTCCAAACATACCTTCAAGTGTTTCGACAAGTTCTTCACTACTCATTCTTAGAACTGAATTTACCAACAACAATCCCAGCCTATTCATTGCTGAACTGCATCCCATTGAAAGAATGGGTCACAGTTCCTCTCTCTAGACACTGTGGAACGACATTGAAGGCCCTTCCATCTTTTGGCGATTGTGAGGACAGGTGCTAGAAGCCTCTGCCCTCAGCCTTGTCCACGTGAGTTCTAATTCCTTTAGAACAACTATCTCAGGGTGGGAAAGATGGTTCCAATGCTAAGTGCCTATTGCATTGATTATGAATCAATGAAACTCTTTCTCCCTGGGGGTTGTCCCAGTTGGATTCCAAGCAGCACTGTCAGAGTGTTCCAGCTTCTCCACATGCTCCGCAGCCCTTGGGATGGTGAGTGATTGTCACGGTGGCTTCTGGGAGAGCTTCTTGGTTGTTGTTGAAGGTGTATTTGACGTGCATTTCCCCAGGGGAGGGACAGTGAACGCTTTTTGAAGTGGTTCTTTACATCCCCTTTGAGGAAATGTCTGCTCAAGTCTCTGGCTGGGTTTTGAACAGAATCATTTGTTTGTCCCATTGGAGTTTTGACAACTCTGTGTATTCTGAGTATGAGCAGTCCTTGCACGTATATGAGATTTGCAAATATTTTGTGCCCCAATCTCAAGGTTGCTCTTTGATACAAATCAAGAGCATCTGAGGCAGAGCAAAGGTTCAGGTGAGAGGACGGAGCATTTCTCCACCTCTCCAGCATGCGCAGCATCTCTCTCCTCCGAGATGCCGAGACATGTGTGCAGGGAGACACCATGAAAAAGCAGGTGTGCTTCATTCTGAATAGAGCGTCTCTGATTCCCGTCTGGTGCCTGAGGGTGCATGGCCCATGAGCCTTAGAAGAGACGTCTTCGGGCCTTGCACGTTGGCCTCCATAGAAACTTGTGGCAAATTCTGGGCTCCGGACTGGGTGATGGAGGTAGAGGTCTGAGGGCAGAGGTGGGCAGGGGCTCCAGGCCGTGGAGATCCAAGTGGAATTCTTCAGGCAGAGCCTGTCTCCAGGGACTAGGCTTGGGCATTTGGGATGAGCCCTGGGGGACGGCCGCTCTGTAGTCAGGTTTGAGGTAGAGGACACGCCAGGAAGAAGGGCTGACTCCATGCACAAGGTTTGCTGGGGGTCCCATCAGGGGCAGGAAGCCTTGGGGAGCCTCACCCTCTTCTACTGAAGGCGCCACACACACATTCTCTGCTCTCTGGGCTCTCACAGATCCATTTTCAATGTCAATCTCCCAGACAGTCTCTGTACTAGTGAGCAGGAGCCAGCGGGCATGGGCAGGGTACAAGAGATCCTTCAGGGACATCAAGAGTTGCTCAGGGACCACCAGGAGCTGCACATTGAGGAGGCTGAGTCGCAGGGCTCCCTGTGGGTCCAGCCCCAGGAACTCCTGCCCCAGGCGCAGGTGCAGGACCATTCCTGGTTCCAAGACCGCGATGATCATCTTCCTCTGGGGAAGCTGTGGGCCCTGGGGGAGAAAAGCCGTGGGTCAGTCATTGTCCTCTGAGGGTGGCTCAAACAGGGAGAGAGCAAGGCGGGGAGCTGCCAGTAACTTCCCCAGGCATAAATGAAACCCCGCAGGGACACCCAGAATTGGCACCTGTATTGACGCCCCTTGGGACGGTGATTTCCTGCAAGTCCCCTAGGGCCTGGAGCTCAGGCAGACCTGTCTCACCCACGCCCACCTAGGTGGTGTGACCTTACCTGGGGCAGCTCCAGGGGCAGCTGTGCAGGGTGGTGGGGAGCTGGCTGTACCGGAGCTGGTTCTGCACCTGTGGAGAGAGCAGAGTGTGCAGGTGAAAGCCCTTGTCATGCAGGATGCCCTTGAGGGTTCAAGGTGCCACCGTGAGAAAGACCAAATACAGAAGAAGCCAGGTACAGGACACCCAGCCACGGAGCTGCAGGAGGAAGCTCCCGACACTCTGGACAGCACAGCTGCTCGCCTCATGACGTGACGGGACACTGGCTTGGTAGCAGGGGACTCAGGATGAAAAAGAGAAGATGCCTCACCTGGATGAGGACCCAGCTCCTCCACTTTCTGGCGTTTTGGGGCATTTGATGGCGTGCCGCTGGAGCTGTAGGACAGAGAGACACAGTCAGATTTCGGGCAGTTCCCTAACGTCCAATTCCCTGAATCCCCACAAATTCACTCCACTTCCCTGCCTTTCATTCAAGGCCACAGACTCGTCATCCACTTCCTGTGAGACCTGCTCCCAATCTGTCCTAACTCCCAGCTGTTCTTGTTCTCACCCCATCTACCTGAGCTTCCCTGGGTGAAGAAAAGGCAGGGAAGGAGGGTCGGTGCCCACAGGGAGCAGTTGACCCTTTCAGGAGCTCATGCAGATGAGAGTTGGAAAACTCTCCTTGGGTGTGAGGAGCTGGAGAAAGATGTTGAGATCCCGGAGAGGTGGCACCTCTGTCTACACAGGTAACAAAGGAATGGGGTCTTAGGATTCGAATCACAGCAGGAGAAGAGGAAGGAATTTGTCGGGCATGACGGCATGCGCCTGTAATCCCAGCACTTTGGGAGGCCAAGGTCGGAGGATTGCTTGAGTCCAGGAGTTTGAGAGCAGCCTGGGCAACATGGTGAAAGCTAGTCTCCACTAAAAATACTAAACATTAGTGGGTCATGGTGGTGCATGCCTGTGGTCTCACCTACTCAGGAGGCTCAGGTGGGAGGATCACCTGCGACTCAGAGGTGGAGCCCGCAGTCAGCTAAAATCACGCCACTGCACTCCAGTGTGGACCATCGGAGTGAGACGCTGTCTCAGTAAAATAAATCAGTAAATAAGACAAATAGAAAAATTAAAAATGAAAAAAGGAGGAAACTGTTTTATTTTTCCTAGTAGATCTTGAAACTCTCACATCATGTCCTACAATCTCCCTTCTTGCAGAACACAGAACCCATTCCCTGTGGAGCTGGTTGGGTGGATTGAAAGTGGGGCTGCCCTGAGATATGTGTGTGGTTGCGATGTAGAAGCCTTCCCAGCACCCTGTGATGACTTACGGGCACCTCACTTCCCTCTGGCCCCAAATTCAAAACATCCAATCTCATGGCAGGTTCATGCACCCTTTTCCCTTCCCCTCTCTCCAACACACACCCACACATCCCACAGGCAGGTCACCCCGCAGGCGTCCCCAGCACATAGCAAAGCTCACCCGCTCTCTCCTGCGTGGTCGCTCTTGGATTCGGTGCAGGAATCACTGGGGCTTCTTGGGCGCCGGGAACCTTTCATGGTGAAAATTTCCAGGGTTCTCCAAGTCAGCCACTGCCAGTGTTTGTCTGTCTCCTGCAAAGATTTCTTCTTGGCTCCCGAATCCTTTAGTTCCTTTGAGAGAGTGGTGTCAGCCCCAAAGCTGCTCCCGAAGGCTTGGGTTGTGTAGCGACGGGGCTGTGGCCAGCGGCAGGTGGACGAGGCTCCGACAACTGAGCTCTTGGGGGAATCTTGTACACTGTCAGCAGGGGGTGGAGCCAGGGGATTTGTCAGCAGGAACTGATGTGATTGGCTGTTCCTGGTATGACAACGGGAGGGGCCCTCATGGAGGATTGGGGCGTAACTCAATCCATAGATGACCGATCAACAGAACCTGCCTAATCCCATCAAGAGCCAACCTGTTTCCTGTCCCCTCCCATCCTCTAGGTCTTGCCTAATAATGATAGACACTTTCTGTCATACCCAATTCATCCATCGCTGAAATAGTTTTTCATGTGTGCCTTTTATATTTTCATGCAATAAAAATATGTTAATTTTCACGGTGGCCATCCTGGGGAATGCTATGTACATGAAATGAAGTGTCAAAGGAGCAGAAGCAGAAGGAAATTCACAAGCTTCTCTGAGCGTCTCTGCTTCAATTCCTGCCATGTTTCCTAAATATGTTGGCTTCTTTCTTCCTACCCAAGTAAGAAGGTGCTTCAGAAGATCAATCTTATGGCATTTGACAAACCCTGCTGAGAATTTCAGGATGACACGAAGGAACCTTTGATTGGATTTGTGGATGTGCCTGTGAAAGCGTGTGTGTGTGTGTGTGTGTGTGTGTGTGTGTGTGTGTGAAGCCAGGATGAAGTGGCTGTTCCTGGGGTGGAGACCCTTCTTTCTCTTGAGAATGTTCATTGCTGTTGACTCATTGTGGGTTTTGGAGATATTTTCTCTCTTTCTTTCGTTCTTTCAGACATTTTTTGCTTTCTCCCTCCCTGGATCCTAACCCCCCTCCATCCCCCCCCTCACTCCCTCCCTCCTTGTTTCCATCCTTCCTCCCTCCCTTCCCTCTTTCCTTCCTTCCTGCCTTCTTCCCTTCCCCTTCCCCTCTTCCTTCTGTCCTTCCTTCCTGTGTGTAAAAGAAAAATTGGTGAATAGAAGAATAATTGAATAACTGCCTGAGTCACTTATACATTTCTCATCTCACTCTGGGGACACAGAAGACCGTGTTGTACTCATCTCCTCGATTTTAAAAACAGTCATTCTAAAATCAAGGATTCTAGATGTATCACTTCTAGGCGAAATCTTGAAAGAGAATGTGTAAGAGTTTCATGTGCTCTTCATCTCTATGATCACAATTGAAGAAGGCAGGAGGTTGAGATGCTGCATCGCCAAGATCGTGGTGATTCCATTATCATTACCCTTGTAACTTGTGAGCATCCTTACTGCCAGCAATCATTATTAGATATGGAATCTGATATAGGAGTTCATATTTACTGTATGAATATCTTGGTGTGGGAGTGTTGGCTCATGCCTGTAATCCCAGTGCTTTGGGAGGCAGAGGCAGGAGGCTCGCTTGAACCCAGGAGTTCGAGACAAGCCGGAAGAGCATGGCGAGACCCTCGTCTCTACAAAAATGTAAAAATCAGCCAAGTGTGCTGGTAGGTGCCTGTAGTCTCAGCTCCTTAGGAGGCTGAAGTGTTAGGATCGCTTTCGCCCGGGATGTAATGGCTACAGGGAGTCGAGATCTTGCCACTGAACTTCAGCCTGGGCAACAGAGCAAGACTCTCTCTCAAAAATAAAATGCTTTTTCCTTTAGGCTTAAATTCTAACACTCAAACCTCCAAAGCGGAGGTATTAGGAGGTGGGGCCCTTGGGAGATGATGAGATTATGAAAGTGGAACCCTCGTAAATGGGATTAGTGCCCTTCTGAAAGTGACGGAAGAGAGCTCGCCAGCACCTTCCATGTGGGGAGACAGGGAGGATATGACAGTCTCCAACCTGGAAGAGGGTCCTCACCAGACCCCGATCATGCTGGCACTCTCATCGTGGACTTCCGGCCTCCAGAACTCTGATCAACAAATGTGTGTTCTTAAAGAAAAAAAAAGTGTGGAAAGCAATGTTAATGTTCCCAATCACTTTGAGTACATTCTTTCCTTAACTATGTCTTAATGCATAGTTGTGTTGGATGGCCTAGTTTGTAATGTTAGAATATGCATGTTAGTGAATTAATAAATACAGCAGTAAAGAATAGAGTTGTGGTTGGGAATGGAGTCTCACGCCTGTAATCCCAGCACAATGGCATGCCGAGGCGGGTCAATCACCTGTAGTCGGGAGGTGGAGATCACCCTGACCAACATGGAGAAACCCGACTCTACTAAAAATACAAATCAGCCTGTCATAGAGGCACATGCCTTTAATCCCAGCTACTCGGGAGGCTGAGGCAGGAGAATCACTTGAACCTAGGAGGCAGAGGTTGCGGTGAGCCGAGATCGCGCCATTGCACTCCAGCCTGGGCAACAAAAGCTAAATTCTATATCAAAAAATTAAAAAAAAAAAAAAGAAGGCTGTTTGTTGACCATTTGAGTGGCCAGTCTTGGTGCTTCCTGGTGGGCGAGGAGAGCCCTGCCCCATTCCTACCCATTCCAGTAGTCATGGCATAAGAGTGATTCTCACTTTCTGCTATAGCCTCCTTATCCATTGGCTGAAATGATTCTTTTTTAATGTGTCTTATTAATGCTTCCATAGCAAAAAATATTGAATTGACTTTTATAGGGACTCTTTCGGGGATTGTTACCCATCATTCCATAATTTGTTTGTACTCCTAGAAAAGGGAAGTATGCCGAGCACAGTGGATATTTCGTCTCAAATAATAAATAAATAACCAAATAGAAAAGAAAGAAAAGGAAGTAAAGGGAAATATACAAATATACAAGGTGTTAGGAGAGAGTTGCTAATCGTGATTCCCCCTTAATTGTCCAAACAGACCACCTCTGGGGATCTATTCGTAAAAGACTCGTTAGAAGTGCAGACTCATGCATTTGAGAATCACTCAGGGAAATCTGAAGATGACCTGTGGTGGGGGTGTAAATGGATACTTAAATGTGTCTTGTGATTGTGTGAGAGTGTGACTGTGTGTTTGTGTGTGTGCTGTCATCTGTGGAGTGGGGGATCCTCTTTTGCCTTGAGAAAGCTCATCTCTGTCCACTTACTCTGGGCTCTACCATCTGTGCCTTGTATCCAGTAGAAATAAAACAGTTTGCGGCAGAAATGGAGTTTTATTTTATTTCACTTTACTTTTTATTAGGATTATTTGTAGACCGGGTCTCACTCTGTCACTCAGGCTGGAGTGCAATGGCACGATCTCAGATCACTGCAACCTGTGCCTCCTGCACTGAAGCCATCCTCCCACCTCAGCCTCTGGAGTGGGGAGATCCCACACCTGTGTAATTTTTGCATTTTTTCTAGAGATGGGGTTTCCTCATGCTGCCCGGGCTGGTTTCCAACGCCTGGGCTCAAGTGATCCACCCGCCTCAGCCTCCCAAAGTGCTGGGATTACAGGTGGGAGCTACTGTGCCCGGCCAGAGATGGAGATTTTTGTTCTTCTTTTGATGAGACGGAACCTCGCACCGTGGCCCAGGCTGGAGTGCAGTGGAGTGACCTCGGCTCACTGCAAGCTCTGCCTCCTGGGGTCATGCCATTCTCCTGCCTCAGCCTCCCAAAGAGCTGGGACTACAGGCGCCCGACACCACGCCCAGCTAAGGTTTTTGCATTTTTTTTTTTTTTTGTAGGGACGGGCTTTCACCGTGTTAGCCAGGACGGTCTCGATCTCCTGCCCTCGTGATGCACCCGCCTGAGCCTCCCGAAGTGCTCGGATTACAGGCATGAGCCACCATGCACGGCCCAGAAATGGAGATTTTTGAGCAAACACATTAAAGAAAAGAAACGCAAATAGACGAAACTCATTTTAACATTTTTATTTAACCCAAGGAATACAGATATAATCAACACCAATACAATTGATGTCACAATGATGACTAAGATACCTGCTACAATCCTTCATTCTCAGATGCAAAATCTAGTATGTGTTTTACAGCAAACGTCAGTTGGAAACTGAACGTCGATCACACATGCTTGATGTGCATGTCAATTTCATGAGAGTTACAATCTCAGGAGAAGTCTCACATAGCGTAAGAGTCCAAACATACCTTCAAGTGTTTCGACAAGTTCTTCACTACTCATTCTTAGAACTGAATTTACCAACAACAATCCCAGCCTATTCATTGCTGAACTGCATCCCATTGAAAGAATGGGTCACAGTTCCTCTCTCTAGACACTGTGGAACGACATTGAAGGCCCCTCCATCTTTTGGCGATTGTGAGGACAGGTGCTAGAAGCCTCTGCCCTCAGCCTTGTCCACGTGAGTTCTAATTCCTTTAGAACAACTATCTCAGGGTGGGAAAGATGGTTCCAATGCTAAGTGCCTATTGCATTGATTATGAATCAATGAAACTCTTTCTCCCTGGGGGTTGTCCCAGTTGGATTCCAAGCAGCACTGTCAGAGTGTTCCAGCTTCTCCACATGCTCCGCAGCCCTTGGGATGGTGAGTGATTGTCACGGTGGCTTCTGGGAGAGCTTCTTGGTTGTTGTTGAAGGTGTATTTGACGTGCATTTCCCCAGGGGAGGGACAGTGAACGCTTTTTGAAGTGGTTCTTTACATCCCCTTTGAGGAAATGTCTGCTCAAGTCTCTGGCTGGGTTTTGAACAGAATCATTTGTTTGTCCCATTGGAGTTTTGACAACTCTGTGTATTCTGAGTATGAGCAGTCCTTGCACGTATATGAGATTTGCAAATATTTTGTGCCCCAATCTCAAGGTTGCTCTTTGATACAAATCAAGAACATCTGAGGCAGAGCAAAGGTTCAGGTGAGAGGACGGAGCATTTCTCCACCTCTCCAGCATGCGCAGCATCTCTCTCCTCCGAGATGCCGAGACATGTGTGCAGGGAGACACCATGAAAAAGCAGGTGTGCTTCATTCTGAATAGAGCGTCTCTGATTCCCGTCTGGTGCCTGAGGGTGCATGGCCCATGAGCCTTAGAAGAGACGTCTTCGGGCCTTGCACGTTGGCCTCCATAGAAACTTGTGGCAAATTCTGGGCTCCGGACTGGGTGATGGAGGTAGAGGTCTGAGGGCAGAGGTGGGCAGGGGCTCCAGGCCGTGGAGATCCAAGTGGAATTCTTCAGGCAGAGCCTGTCTCCAGGGACTAGGCTTGGGCATTTGGGATGAGCCCTGGGGGACGGCCGCTCTGTAGTCAGGTTTGAGGTAGAGGACACGCCAGGAAGAAGGGCTGACTCCATGCACAAGGTTTGCTGCTCCAAGTCAGCCACTGCCAGTGTTTGTCTGTCTCCTGCAAAGATTTCTTCTTGGCTCCCGAATCCTTTAGTTCCTTTGAGAGAGTGGTGTCAGCCCCAAAGCTGCTCCCGAAGGCTTGGGTTGTGTAGCGACGGGGCTGTGGCCAGCGGCAGGTGGATGAGGCTCTGACAACTGAGCTCTTGGGGGAATCTTGTACACTGTCAGCAGGGGGTGGAGCCAGGGGATTTGTCAGCAGGAACTGATGTGATTGGCTGTTCCTGGTATGACAACGGGAGGGGCCCTCATGGAGGATTGGGGCGTAACTCAATCCATAGATGACCGATCAACAGAACCTGCCTAATCCCATCAAGAGCCAACCTGTTTCCTGTCCCCTCCCATCCTCTAGCTCTTGCCTAATAATGATAGACACTTTCTGTCATACCCAATTCATCCATCGCTGAAATAGTTTTTCATGTGTGCCTTTTATATTTTCATGCAATAAAAATATGTTAATTTTCACGGTGGCTATCCTGGGGAATGCTATGTACATGAAATGAAGTGTCAAAGGAGCAGAAGCAGAAGGAAATTCACAAGCTTCTCTGAGCGTCTCTGCTTGAATTCCTGCCATGTTTCCTAAACATGTTGGCTTCTTTCTTCCTACCCAAGTAAGAAGGTGCTTCAGAAGATCAATCTTAGGGCATTTGACAAACGCTGCTGAGAATTTCAGGATGACACGAAGGAACCTTTGATTGGATTTGTGGATGTGCCTGTGAAAGCGTGTGTGTGTGTGTGTGTGTGTGTTTGTGTGTGTGTGAAGCCAGGATGAAGTGGCTGTTCCTGGGGTGGAGACCCTTCTTTCTCTTGAGAATGTTCATTGCTGTTGACTCATTGTGGGTTTTGGAGATATTTTCTCTCTTTCTTTCGTTCTTTCAGACATTTTTTGCTTTCTCCCTCCCTCGATCCTAACCCCCCTCTTTCCCCCCCTCACTCCCTCCCTCCCTCTTTCCATCCTTCCTCCCTCCCTTCCCTCTTTCCTTCCTTCCTGCCTTCTTCCCTTCCCCTTCCCCTCTTCCTTCCGTCCTTCCTTCCTGTGTGTAAAAGAAAAATTGGTGAATAGAAGAATAATTGAATAACTGCCTGAGTCACTTATACATTTCTCATCTCACTCTGGGGACACAGAAGACCGTGTTATACTCATCTCCTCGATTTTAAAAACAGTCATTCTAAAATCAAGGATTCTAGATGTATCACTTCTAGGCGAAATCTTGAAAGAAAATGTGTAAGAGTTTCATGTGCTCTTTATCTCTATGATCACAATTGAAGAAGGCAGGAGGTTGAGATGCTGCATCGCCAAGATCGTGGTGATTCCATTATCATTACCCTTGTAACTTGTGAGCATCCTTACCGCCAGCAATCATTATTAGATATGGAATCTGATATAGGAGTTCATATTTACTGTATGAATATCTTGGTGTGGGAGTGTTGGCTCATGCCTGTAATCCCAGTGCTTTGGGAGGCAGAGGCAGGAGGCTCGCTTGAACCCAGGAGTTCGAGACAAGCCGGAAGAGCATGGCGAGACCCTCGTCTCTACAAAAATGTAAAAATCAGCCAAGTGTGCTGGTAGGTGCCTGTAGTCTCAGCTCCTTAGGAGGCTGAAGTGTTAGGATCGCTTTCGCCCGGGATGTAATGGCTACAGGGAGTCGAGATCTTGCCACTGAACTTCAGCCTGGGCAACAGAGCAAGACTCTCTCTCAAAAATAAAATGCTTTTTCCTTTAGGCTTAAATTCTAACACTCAAACCTCCAAAGCGGAGGTATTAGGAGGTGGGGCCCTTGGGAGATGATGAGATTATGAAAGTGGAACCCTCGTAAATGGGATTAGTGCCCTTCTGAAAGTGACGGAAGAGAGCTCGCCAGCACCTTCCATGTGGGGAGACAGGGAGGATATGACAGTCTCCAACCTGGAAGAGGGTCCTCACCAGACCCCGATCATGCTGGCACTCTCATCGTGGACTTCCGGCCTCCAGAACTCTGATCAACAAATGTGTGTTCTTAAAGAAAAAAAAAGTGTGGAAAGCAATGTTAATGTTCCCAATCACTTTGAGTACATTCTTTCCTTAACTATGTCTTAATGCATAGTTGTGTTGGATGGCCTAGTTTGTAATGTTAGAATATGCATGTTAGTGAATTAATAAATACAGCAGTAAAGAATAGAGTTGTGGTTGGGAATGGTGTCTCACGCCTGTAATCCCAGCACAATGGCATGCCGAGGCGGGTCAATCACCTGTAGTCGGGAGGTGGAGATCACCCTGACCAACATGGAGAAATCCCGACTCTACTAAAAATACAAATCAGCCTGTCATAGAGGCACATGCCTTTAATCCCAGCTACTCGGGAGGCTGAGGCAGGAGAATCACTTGAACCTAGAAGGCAGAGGTTGCGGTGAGCCGAGATCGCGCCATTGCACTCCAGCCTGGGCAACAAAAGCTAAATTCTATAGCAAAAAATTAAAAAAAAAAAAAAGAAGGCTGTTTGTTGACCATTTGAGTGGCCAGTCTTGGTGCTTCCTGGTGGGCGAGGAGAGCCCTGCCCCATTCCTACCCATTCCAGTAGTCATGGCATAAGAGTGATTCTCACTTTCTGCTATAGCCTCCTTATCCATTGGCTGAAATGATTCTTTTTTAATGTGTCTTATTAATGCTTCCATAGCAAAAAAAATTGAATTGACTTTTATAGGGACTCTTTCGGGGATTGTTACCCATCATTCCATAATTTGTTTGTACTCCTAGAAAAGGGAAGTATGCCGAGCACAGTGGATATTTCGTCTCAAATAATAAATAAATAACCAAATAGAAAAGAAAGAAAAGGAAGTAAAGGGAAATATACAAATATACAAGGTGTTAGGAGAGAGTTGCTAATCGTGATTCCCCCTTAATTGTCCAAACAGACCACCTCTGGGGATCTATTCGTAAAAGACTCGTTAGAAGTGCAGACTCATGCATTTGAGAATCACTCAGGGAAATCTGAAGATGACCTGTGGTGGGGGTGTAAATGGATACTTAAATGTGTCTTGTGATTGTGTGAGAGTGTGACTGTGTGTTTGTGTGTGTGCTGTCATCTGTGGAGTGGGGGATCCTCTTTTGCCTTGAGAAAGCTCATCTCTGTCCACTTACTCTGGGCTCTACCATCTGTGCCTTGTATCCAGTAGAAATAAAACAGTTTGCGGCAGAAATGGAGTTTTATTTTATTTTACTTTACTTTTTATTAGGATTATTTGTAGACCGGGTCTCACTCTGTCACTCAGGCGGGAGTGCAACGGCACGATCTCAGATCACTGCAACCTGTGCCTCCTGCACTGAAGCCATCCTCCCACCTCAGCCTCTGGAGTGGGGAGATCCCACACCTGTGTAATTTTTGCATTTTTTCTAGAGATGGGGTTTCCTCATGCTGCCCGGGCTGGTTTCCAACGCCCGGGCTCAAGTGATCCACCCGCCTCAGCCTCCCAAAGTGCTGGGATTACAGGTGGGAGCTACTGTGCCCGGCCAGAAATGGAGATTTTTGTTCTTCTTTTGATGAGACGGAACCTCGCACCGTGGCCCAGGCTGGAGTGCAGTGGAGTGACCTCGGCTCACTGCAAGCTCTGCCTCCTGGGGTCATGCCATTCTCCTGCCTCAGCCTCCCAAAGAGCTGGGACTACAGGCGCCCGACACCACGCCCAGCTAAGGTTTTTGCATTTTTTTTTTTTTTTTTGTAGGGACGGGCTTTCACCGTGTTAGCCAGGACGGTCTCGATCTCCTGCCCTCGTGATGCACCCGCCTGAGCCTCCCGAAGTGCTCGGATTACAGGCATGAGCCACCATGCACGGCCCAGAAATGGAGATTTTTGAGCAAACACATTAAAGAAAAGAAACGCAAATAGACGAAACTCATTTTAACATTTTTATTTAACCCAAGGAATACAGATATAATCAACACCAATACAATTGATGTCACAATGATGACTAAGATACATGCTACAATCCTTCATTCTCAGATGCAAAATCTAGTATGTGTTTTACAGCAAACGTCAGTTGGAAACTGAACGTCGATCACACATGCTTGATGTGCATGTCAATTTCATGAGAGTTACAATCTCAGGAGAAGTCTCACATAGCGTAAGAGTCCAAACATACCTTCAAGTGTTTCGACAAGTTCTTCACTACTCATTCTTAGAACTGAATTTACCAACAACAATCCCAGCCTATTCATTGCTGAACTGCATCCCATTGAAAGAATGGGTCACAGTTCCTCTCTCTAGACACTGTGGAACGACATTGAAGGCCCCTCCATCTTTTGGCGATTGTGAGGACAGGTGCTAGAAGCCTCTGCCCTCAGCCTTGTCCACGTGAGTTCTAATTCCTTTAGAACAACTATCTCAGGGTGGGAAAGATGGTTCCAATGCTAAGTGCCTATTGCATTGATTATGAATCAATGAAACTCTTTCTCCCTGGGGGTTGTCCCAGTTGGATTCCAAGCAGCACTGTCAGAGTGTTCCAGCTTCTCCACATGCTCCGCAGCCCTTGGGATGGTGAGTGATTGTCACGGTGGCTTCTGGGAGAGCTTCTTGGTTGTTGTTGAAGGTGTATTTGACGTGCATTTCCCCAGGGGAGGGACAGTGAACGCTTTTTGAAGTGGTTCTTTACATCCCCTTTGAGGAAATGTCTGCTCAAGTCTCTGGCTGGGTTTTGAACAGAATCATTTGTTTGTCCCATTGGAGTTTTGACAACTCTGTGTATTCTGAGTATGAGCAGTCCTTGCACGTATATGAGATTTGCAAATATTTTGTGCCCCAATCTCAAGGTTGCTCTTTGATACAAATCAAGAGCATCTGAGGCAGAGCAAAGGTTCAGGTGAGAGGACGGAGCATTTCTCCACCTCTCCAGCATGCGCAGCATCTCTCTCCTCCGAGATGCCGAGACATGTGTGCAGGGAGACACCATGAAAAAGCAGGTGTGCTTCATTCTGAATAGAGCGTCTCTGATTCCCGTCTGGTGCCTGAGGGTCCATGGCCCATGAGCCTTAGAAGAGACGTCTTCGGGCCTTGCACGTTGGCCTCCATAGAAACTTGTGGCAAATTCTGGGCTCCGGACTGGGTGATGGAGGTAGAGGTCTGAGAGCAGAGGTGGGCAGGGGCTCCAGGCCGTGGAGATCCAAGTGGAATTCTTCAGGCAGAGCCTGTCTCCAGGGACTAGGCTTGGGCATTTGGGATGAGCCCTGGGGGACGGCCGCTCTGTAGTCAGGTTTGAGGTAGAGGACACGCCAGGAAGAAGGGCTGACTCCATGCACAAGGTTTGCTGGGGGTCCCATCAGGGTCAGGAAGCCTTGCGGAGCCTCACCCTCTTTTACTGAAGGCGCCACACACACATTCTCTGCTCTCTGGGCTCTCACAGATCCATTTTCAATGTCAATCTCCCAGACAGTCTCTGTACTAGTGAGCAGGAGCCAGCGGGCATGGGCAGGGTACAAGAGATCCTTCAGGGACATCAAGAGTTGCTCAGGGACCACCAGGAGCTGCACATTGAGGAGGCTGAGTCGCAGGGCTCCCTGTGGGTCCAGCCCCAGGAACTCCTGCCCCAGGCGCAGGTGCAGGACCATTCCTGGTTCCAAGACCGCGATGATCATCTTCCTCTGGGGAAGCTGTGGGCCCTGGGGGAGAAAAGCCGTGGGTCAGTCATTGTCCTCTGAGGGTGGCTCAAACAGGGAGAGAGCAAGGCGGGGAGCTGCCAGTAACTTCCCCAGGCATAAATGAAACCCCGCAGGGACACCCAGAATTGGCACCTGTATTGACGCCCCTTGGGACGGTGATTTCCTGCAAGTCCCCTAGGGCCTGGAGCTCAGGCAGACCTGTCTCACCCACGCCCACCTAGGTGGTGTGACCTTACCTGGGGCAGCTCCAGGGGCAGTTGTGCAGGGTGGTGGGGAGCTGGCTGTACCGGAGCTGGTTCTGCACCTGTGGAGAGAGCAGAGTGTGCAGGTGAAAGCCCTTGTCATGCAGGATGCCCTTGAGGGTTCAAGGTGCCACCGTGAGAAAGACCAAATACAGAAGAAGCCAGGTACAGGACACCCAGCCACGGAGCTGCAGGAGGAAGCTCCCGACACTCTGGACAGCACAGCTGCTCGCCTCATGACGTGACGGGACACTGGCTTGGTAGCAGGGGACTCAGGATGAAAAAGAGAAGATGCCTCACCTGGATGAGGACCCAGCTCCTCCACTTTCTGGCGTTTTGGGGCATTTGATGGCGTGCCGCTGGAGCTGTAGGACAGAGAGAGAGACACAGTCAGATTTCGGGCAGTTCCCTAACGTCCAATTCCCTGAATCCCCACAAATTCACTCCACTTCCCTGCCTTTCATTCAAGGCCACAGACTCGTCATCCACTTCCTGTGAGACCTGCTCCCAATCTGTCCTAACTCCCAGCTGTTCTTGTTCTCACCCCATCTACCTGAGCTTCCCTGGGTGAAGAAAAGGCAGGGAAGGAGGGTCGGTGCCCACAGGGAGCAGTTTACCCTTTCAGGAGCTCATGCAGATGAGAGTTGGAAAACTCTCCTTGGGTGTGAGGAGCTGGAGAAAGATGTTGAGATCCCGGAGAGGTGGCACCTCTGTCTACACAGGTAACAAAGGAATGGGGTCTTAGGATTCGAATCACAGCAGGAGAAGAGGAAGGAATTTGTCGGGCATGACGGCATGCGCCTGTAATCCCAGCACTTTGGGAGGCCAAGGTCGGAGGATTGCTTGAGTCCAGGAGTTTGAGAGCAGCCTGGGCAACATGGTGAAAGCTAGTCTCCACTAAAAATACTAAACATTAGTGGGTCATGGTGGTGCATGCCTGTGGTCTCACCTACTCAGGAGGCTCAGGTGGGAGGATCACCTGCGACTCAGAGGTGGAGCCCGCAGTCAGCTAAAATCACGCCACTGCACTCCAGTGTGGACCATCGGAGTGAGACGCTGTCTCAGTAAAATAAATCAGTAAATAAGACAAATAGAAAAATTAAAAATGAAAAAAGGAGGAAACTGTTTTATTTTTCCTAGTAGATCTTGAAACTCTCACATCATGTCCTACAATCTCCCTTCTTGCAGAACACAGAACCCATTCCCTGTGGAGCTGGTTGGGTGGATTGAAAGTGGGGCTGCCCTGAGATATGTGTGTGGTTGCGATGTAGAAGCCTTCCCAGCACCCTGTGATGACTTACGGGCACCTCACTTCCCTCTGGCCCCAAATTCAAAACATCCAATCTCATGGCAGGTTCATGCACCCTTTTCCCTTCCCCTCTCTCCAACACACACCCACACATCCCACAGGCAGGTCACCCCGCAGGCGTCCCCAGCACATAGCAAAGCTCACCCGCTCTCTCCTGCGTGGTCGCTCTTGGATTCGGTGCAGGAATCACTGGGGCTTCTTGGGCGCCGGGAACCTTTCATGGTGAAAATTTCCAGGGTTCTCCAAGTCAGCCACTGCCAGTGTTTGTCTGTCTCCTGCAAAGATTTCTTCTTGGCTCCCGAATCCTTTAGTTCCTTTGAGAGAGTGGTGTCAGCCCCAAAGCTGCTCCCGAAGGCTTGGGTTGTGTAGCGACGGGGCTGTGGCCAGCGGCAGGTGGATGAGGCTCTGACAACTGAGCTCTTGGGGGAATCTTGTACACTGTCAGCAGGGGGTGGAGCCAGGGGATTTGTCAGCAGGAACTGATGTGATTGGCTGTTCCTGGTATGACAACGGGAGGGGCCCTCATGGAGGATTGGGGCGTAACTCAATCCATAGATGACCGATCAACAGAACCTGCCTAATCCCATCAAGAGTCAACCTGTTTCCTGTCCCCTCCCATCCTCTAGGTCTTGCCTAATAATGATAGACACTTTCTGTAATACCCAATTCATCCATCGCTGAAATAGTTTTTCATGTGTGCCTTTTATATTTTCATGCAATAAAAATATGTTAACTTTCACGGTGGCTATCCTGGGGAATGTTATGTACACGAAATGAAGTGTCAAAGGAGCAGAAGCAGAAGGAAATTCACAAGCTTCCCTGAGAGTCTCTGCTTGAATTCCTGCCATGTTTCCTAAATATGTTGGCTTCCTACTTCCTACCCAAGTAAGAAGGTGCTTCAGAAGATCAATCTTAGGACATTTGACAAACGCTACTGAGAATTTCAGGATGACAGGAAGGAACCTTTGATTGGATTTGTGGATGTGCCTGTGAAAGCGTGTGTGTGTGTGTGTGTGTGTGTGTGTGTGTGCGTGTGAAGCCAGGATGAAGTGGCTGTTCCTGGGGTGGAGACCCTTCTTTCTCTTGAGAATGTCCATTGCTGTTGACTCATTGTGGGTTTTGGAGATATTTTCTCTCTTTCTTTCGTTCTTTCTGACATTTTTTGCTTTCTCCCTCCCTCGATCCTAACCCCACTCCATCCCCCCCTCCTCACTCCCTCCCTCCCTCTTTCCATCCTTCCTCCCTCCCTTCCCTCTTTCCTTCCTTCCTGCCTTCTTCCTTTCCCCTTCCCCTCTTCCTTCCGTCCTTCCTTCCTGTGTGTAAAAGAAAAATTGGTGAATAGAAGAATAATTGAATAACTGCCTGAGTCACTTATACATTTCTCATCTCACTCTGGGGACACAGAAGACCGTGTTGTACTCATCTCCTCGATTTTAAAAACAGTCATTCTAAAATCAAGGATTCTAGATGTATCACTTCTAGGCGAAATCTTGAAAGAGAATGTGTAAGAGTTTCATGTGCTCTTCATCTCTGTGATCACAATTGAAGAAGGCATGAGTTTGAGACGCTGCATCACCAAGATCGTGGTGATTCCATTGTCATTACCCTTGTAACTTGTGAGCATCCTTACTGCCAGCAATCATTATTAGATATGGAATCTGATATAGGAGTTCATATTTGCTGTATGAATATCTTGTTCTGGGAGTGGTGGCTCATGCCTGTCATCCCAGTGCTTTGGGAGGCAGAGGCAGGAGGCTCGCTTGAGCCCAGGAGTTCGAGACAAGCCGGGACAGCATAGCCAGACCCTCGTCTCTACAAAAATGTAAAAATCAGCCAAGTGTGCTGGTAGGTGCCTGTAATCTCAGCTACTTAGGAGGCTGAAGTGTTAGGATCGCTTGCGCCCGGGATGTCAAGGCTACAGGGAGCCGAGATCGTGCCACTGAACTTCAGTCTGGGCAACAGAGCAAGACTCTCTCTCAAAAATAAAATACTTTTTCCTTTAGGCTTAAATTCTAACACTCAAACCTCCAATGTGGCGGTATTAGGAGGTGGGGCCCTTGGGAGATAATGAGATTATGAAAGTGGAACCCTCGTAAATGGGATTAGTGCCCCTCTGAAAGTGACCGAAGAGAGCTCGCCAGCACCTTCCATGTGGGGAGACAGGGAGGATATGACAGTCTCCAACCTGGAAGAGGGTCCTCACCAGACCCCGATCATGCTGGCACCCTCATCTTCGACTTCCGGCCTCCAGAACTCTGATCAACAAATGTGTATTCTTAAAGAAAAAAAAAGTGTGGAAAGCAATGTTAATGTTCCCAATCACTTTGAGTACATTCTTTCCTTAACTATGTCTTAATGCATAGTTGTCTTGGATGGCCTAGTTTGTAATATTAGTATATGCATATCAGTGAATTAATAAATACAGCAGTGAAGAATACTGTTCTCGTTGGCAATGGTGGCTCTCGCCTGTAATCCCAGCACAATGGGTGGGCAAGTCGTGTCAATCATCTGAAGTCGGGGGTTGGAGATCATCCTGACCAACATGGAGAAATCCCGACTCTACTAAAAATACCAATCTGCCTGTCATAGTGGCACGTGTCTTTAATCCCAGCTACTTCGGAGGCTGAGGCAGGGGAATCACTTGAACCTAGGAGGTAGAGGTTGTGGTGAGCTGAGATCGTGTGCGTGCAGTCTATCCTAGGCAACAAAAGCTAAACTCTATCTGAATAAAGAAAAAAAAAATGTAATGGTGTTTGTTGACCATTTGTTCAGCTAGTCTTGGTGCTTCCTTGTGGGCCAGGAGAGCCCTGCTGCAGCCCCCATTCATTCCAGTAGACATGGCAGAAGAGTGATTCTCACTTTCTGCTATAGCCTCTTCATCCATTGGTTGAAATGATTTTTTTATATGTCTTATAAATGTTTCCACATTAAAAAACGAATTGAATTTTATAGTGACGCTTTTGGGGATTGTTACCCATAATTTGTTTGAACTCCTAAAACATGGAAGTATGCCAAGCACAGTGGCTTATGCCTGTAATCCCAGCGCTTTGGGTGGGCGGATGACCTGATGTCAGGAGTTCACGACCAGCCTGACCAATGTGGGAGAAATCCTAACTCTACTAAAAATACAAAAATTAGCCGACGATGGTGGTGTGTACCTGTATTCCCAGCTACTTGGGAGGCTGAGACAGGAAAATTGCTTGAACCCAAGAGGCAAAAGTTGCAGTGAGCTGAGATGGTGCCATTTCACTCCAGACTGTATGACAGAGGGAGATTCCATCTTAAAAAAATAAAAAAAGGAATTAAAGGGAAATATATAAGATGTTGTGAGAGAGTTTCTAATTGTGATTCCTCCATAATTGTCCAAACAGACCACCTCTGGGGGTCTATTCACAAGAGACTCTTTAGAAGTGGAAACTCATGCATTTGGGAAACGCTGGGGGAAATCTGAAGATGACCTATGGTGGGGGTATAAATGGATTCGTACGTGTGTTTTTTGATTGTGTGAGTGTGTGTGTGTGTGTGTGTGCTGTCATCTGTGGAGTGGGGGATCCTCTTTTGCCTTGAGAAAGCTCATCTCTGTCCACTTACTCTGGGCTCTACCATCTGTGCCTTGTATCCAGTAGAAATAAAACAGTTTGCGGCAGAAATGGAGTTTTATTTTATTTTACTTTACTTTTTATTAGGATTATTTGTAGACCGGGTCTCACTCTGTCACTCAGGCTGGAGTGCAATGGCACGATCTCAGATCACTGCAACCTGTGCCTCCTGCACTGAAGCCATCCTCCCACCTCAGCCTCTGGAGTGGGGAGATCCCACACCTGTGTAATTTTTGCATTTGTTCTAGAGATGGGGTTTCCTCATGCTGCCCGGGCTGGTCTCCAACTCCCGGGCTCAAGCGATCCACCCGCTTCAGCCTCCTAAAGTGCTGGGATTACAGGTGTGAGCTACTGTGCGTGGCCAGAAATGGAGATTTTCTTTTTTTTCTCCTTTTTTTTTTTTGAGGCGGAGTCTTGCACTGTTGCCCAGGCTGGAGTGCAGTGGAGTGACATTGGCGCCCTGCAAGCTCTGCCTCCTCGGTTCACGCCATTCTCCTGAGGGGAGGGAGGGAGGGAGGGAAAGAAGAAAGGGAGGGAGGGAGGAAGGGAGGAGAAAATGTCCGAAGGAAAGAAAGAAAGAAAGAAAGAGAAAGAAAGAAGGAAAGAAAGAAAGAAAGAGAGAGAGAAAATGTTCACAAAACCCACAATGAGTTACCAGCAATGAACTTTCTCCAGACAAAGAAGGGTCTGCACCCCAGGAACAGACACTTCTTCCTGGCTACACACACACACACACACACACACACACACACACACACACACACACACACACGCTTTCATAGGCAATCCAGATATCCAGTCAAAGATTCCTTATTTATTTCCCTTTACTTCCTTTTTTTTTTTTTTTTTGAGACAAAATCTCCCTCTGTCTTCGAGGCTGGAGTGCAGTGGCACCATCTCAGCTCACTGCAACTTCTGCCTCCTGGGTTCAAGCAATTGTCTTGTCTCAGCCTCCCAAGTAGCTGGGACTACAGGTGCACACCACCATGGTTGGCTAATTTTTATATTTTTAGTAGAGTTGGGGTTTTCCCACATTGGTCAGGCTGGTCTTGAACTCCTGACATCAGGTGATCCGCCCGCCTCAGCCTCCCAAAGTGCTGGGATTACAAGCATGAGCCACTGTGCTCGGCATACTTCCATTTTTTAGGAGTTCAAACAAATTATGGGTAATGATCCCCAAAAGAGTCACTATAAAATTCAATTCTTTTTTTACTATGGAAACATTTATAAGACACTTTAAAAAAATCATTTCAGCCAATGGATAAAGAGGCTATAGCAGAGAGTGAGAATCACTCTTATGCCATGTCTACTGGAATGGGTTGGGGGTGGGGCAGCGCTCTCCTGGCTCACCAGGAAGCACCAAGTCTAGCTGATCAAATGGTCAACAAACAGCATTCTTTTTTTTTTTTTTTTTAATTTTTTGAGATTCAGTTTAGCGTTTGTTGCCCAGGCTGGAGTGCAATGGCGCGATCTCGGCTCACCACAACCTCTGCCTCCCAGGTTCAAGTGATTCTCCTGCCTCAGCCTCCCGAGCAGTGGGATTAAAGGCATGTGCCACTATGGCAGACTGATTTGTATTTTTAGTAGAGTCGGGATTTCTCCATGTTGGTCAGGCTGATCTCCAACTCCCGACTACAGGTGATTGACCAGCCTTGGCCTTCCATTGTGCTGGGATTACAGGCGTGAGCCACCATTCCCAACCTGAACAGTATTCTTTATTGCTGTATTTATTAATTCACTAACATGCATATTCTAACATTACAAACTAGGCCATACAACACAACTATGCATTAAGACATAGTTAAAGAAAGAATGTACTCAAAGTGATTGGGAACATTAACACTGCTTTCCACGCTTTTTTTTTTTTTAAGAACAGACATTTGTTTATCCCAGTTCTGGAGGCTGGAAGTCCAAGATGAGGGTGCCAGCATGATCGGGGTCTGGTGAGGACCCTCTTCCAGGTTGGAGACTGTCATATCCTCCCTGTCTCCTCACATGGAAGGTGCCGGCGAGCTCTCTTCTGTCACTTTCAGAAGGGCACTAATCCCATCTATGAGGGCTCCACCTTCATAACGTCATCATCTCCAAAAGGCCCCAGCTCCTAATACCTTCACATTGGAGGTTTGAGGGTTAGAATTTAAGCCTAAAGAATAAAACATTTTATTTTTGAGACAGTCTTGCTCTGTTGCCCAGGCTGAAGTTCAGTGGCACGATCTTGGCTCTCTGTAGCCTTGACATCCCAGGCTCAAGGGATCCTCCCACTTCAGCCTCCCAAATAGCTGAGACTACAGGCACCTACCACCACACTTGGCTGATTTTTAAATTTTTTGTTGAGATGGGGTCTCGCTAAATTGTCCTGGCTGGTCTCGAACTCTTGGGCTCTTGGGCTCAAGTGAGCCTCCTGCCTCTGCCTCCCAAAGCACTGGGATTACAGGCATGAGCCACCACTCCCAGACCAAGATATTCATACCGTAAATATGAACTCCTATCTCACATTTGATATCTAATAATGATTGCTGGCAGTAAGGATGCTCACAAGTTACAAGGGTAATGATAATGGAATCACCACGATCTTGGTGATGCAGCATCTCAAACTCATGCCTTCTTCAATTGTGATCACAGAGATGAAGAGCACATGAAACTCTTACACGTTTTCTTTCACGATTTGGCCTAGAAGTGATACATCTAGTCTCCTTGATTTTAGAATGACTGTTTTTAAAATCAAGGAGATGAGTCCAACACGGTCTTCCGTGTGCCCAGAATGAGTTGAGAACTGTATAAATGTCTGAGGCAGTTATTCAATTATTCTTCTATTCACCATTTTTTTTTGACACAGTCTCACTCTGGCACCCAGGCTGGAGTGCAGTGGTAAAATCTTGACTCTCTGCCACCTCCACGTCCCAGCCTCAAGCGATTCTCGTGCCTCAGCCACCCAAGTAACTGGGATTACAGGCGTGCTCCACCACACCCAGCTAATTTTTGTATTTTTAGTAGAGACGCGGTTTCGCCAAGTTGCCCAGGCTCGTTTTGAACTCCTGAGCTCAGACGATCTGTCTGCCTGGGCCTCCCAAAGTGCTGGAATTACAGGTGTGAGCCACTGCGCCAGGCCTGTTTTTGTAATTTTTTTTAGAGACAAGGTCTCACTTTGTGGCCCTTACTGCTCTGCATAGTGGTTGAACTAAGCAACACAGTACAAGCGTTCTCTTTTCTCCACATCCTTACCAGCATGTATTATTGTCTGTCTTTTGGATGTAAGCTAACTGGGGTAAGGTGATATCTCCTCATAGTTTTGACTTGCATTTCTCTGATGATCAATGATGTTGAGCACCTTTTCATAAGCCTGTTTACCATTTGTATATCTTCTTTTGAAAAACGTCTATTCAGAGGCCAGGCGTGGTGTCTCATGCCTGTAATCCCAGCACTTTGGGAAGCCAAGGTGGGCGGATCTTCTGAGGTCAGGAGTTTGAGACCAGCCTGGCCAACGTGATGAAACCCTGTGTCTACTAAAAGTACAAAAACTAGCTGGGCGTGGTGGCGGATGCCTGTAATCCCATCTACTTGGGAGGCTGAGGCAGGAGAATCGCTTGTACCTGGGAGGCGGAGGTTGCAGTGAGCTGAGATCGTGCCATTGCTCTCCAGTCTGGGTGACAGAGTGAGACTCTGTCTAAAAATAAAAAAATAAAAAAATAATCTATTCCTGTCTTTTGCCCATTTTCAAAATCAAATTATTAGATTTTGTCCTATTGGGTCAAGCACTGTGTCTCACGCCTGTAATGCCAGCACTTTGGGGGGATGAGGTGGGAGGATTACCTGGGGTCGGGCGTTCGAGACCAGGCTGGCTAATATGGTGAAATCCTGTATCTACTAAAAATACACAGATTAGTCAGGCGTGGTGGCAGGCACCTGTACTGCCAGCTCCTCAGGAGGCTGAGGCCGGAGAATTGCTTGAACCTGAGAGGTGGAGGTTGGGGTGAGCTGAGATTGTTCCACTGCACTCCAGACTGGGCAATAGACTCTGTCTCAGAAAAAAAAAAAAAAAGGTTGTGTGCTATTGAGATGTTTGAGCTCCTTTTGTATTTTGAATCAATTTCTATATTTTACTTATCACCTGATAGACACGCTAAATGTGCATATTTTGATCAAATATCTAAGTTGCACATGATTTAGTTTCTGTTTTCTTCTTGCTTCCTCAGAGTTTTGTTAGCTTTATAATGTTTAAATATTAGCTTGATGATATATTAATATTTCTAATATATTGAGGAGTTTTCCTAATTCAAAAGTTAGTCGAGCAAAATTCTCTTACGCATGTATAATCTATTGTTCACAGGCCTCTAATTAAATCGTCATTGTTAAACTGTTTTGAAATTCTATCTTTATCACACATTAGGTTTTCAGGAGAGAAATGGTTCTAAAAACAAATGTTCCTCCATCGATTTACTGTTTTTTTTTTTTTTTTTGAGACGGAGTTTCACTCTAGTTGCCCAGGCTGGAGTGCAGTGGCGCGATCTCGGCTCACTGCAACCTGCGCCTCCTGGGTTCAAGCGATTCTCCTGCCTCAGCCTCCCGAGTAGCTGGGATTACAGGTATGAGCCACCGTGCCCAACCATCTCAGGTTTTTCTGAGCTTGGATCCAGTGTGTTACTTTCTAGTGTCCCGCACACTACAGTCCCTTCCCTGGGATATGTGGTGACCCTTCCAAGTCCTCATTATTTTCAACAAACTTCCTTCTCAGCTGTCTCCTTTGTGAGGCTTTTGGGTCTGTCTGCTTCTTGCCTAACCCAATATCCCCTAGCCCCAGGCAGATGCTGGTAGTTTGTGTCTTTCAATCCTTCAGTAGACACTATCCTTGCCTGGAAAGTCATGCTAGAGTTAACTTTAAAACTAATTGTTACATTACTAGCC
Source organism: Homo sapiens (assembly GCF_000001405.40). Lineage (NCBI taxonomy): Eukaryota > Metazoa > Chordata > Mammalia > Primates > Hominidae > Homo > Homo sapiens. The sequence goes on from NW_025791807.1 coordinate 29,598, forward strand.
AGGCATGGCAGCTCACACCTGTAATCCCAGCACTTTGGGAGGTCAAGGCAGGCAGATCACTTGAGGCCACCAGGAGTTCGAGACCAGCCTGACCAGCATAGTGAAACCTCATCTCTACTAAAAATACAAAAATTAGCCGGGTGTGGTGGCACACACCTGTAATCCCAGCTACTTGGGAAGCTGAGGCAGGTGAATCACTTGAACCTGGGAGGTGGAGGTTGCAGTGAACCGAGATCATGCCACTGCACTGTGGCCTGAGTGACAAGAGTGAGACTCTGTCTCAAAAAACAAAAACAAAAACAAAAAACCAAAAAGAGATCTATGTTCTATTTGAGATAATGGAAAAAGGGATTTTACTGACCACACACAACAAGGAATATAGTCTTTCTAAAAATAGTTGGAAAAGTCACTGAACAAATGGAAAAGGGGAGCCCAAAGCAAGCCACAACAACAAAACCTGGGGAAGGGGGAGAATCCCCCTACAAATACTTTAACACAACTATCTTAAATATGTTCAAAGAGCTAAGCAGGCATGTCCAAGGGAGAGAACATAGTCATGTGTTTTTGTTTCTGTTTCTGGTTGGGCCAGTAAAGCCCCATCCTCATCCCTCTTTTCTGCTTATCACTAGAGACAGAAACTAGAAACCATGGATTCAGGCTGCTAAAAGCCAAAAACGAAAGAGAACACCATCACCAAAATAAGGCAGGTCAGACAAGCTTGAAAGAAAACCCTTGACAAAGATGTCTCAATGACAGAGCAGGTGCATTGCCATCTTGGACAAACACCACTATTTTAAGTTCCCTTTGATTAAAAATCGCCTAAATCCAGCCCCTAAAACATGAGTCTAATGGCTAATCTCAGCTTGACCATAAACCATAAATGACACCTTTGACCAGAAACATTCCAATGCTGAGATAAACTCTCCTCCACTCAGAAAACATTCTGAACCTGTGATAAGCTCTCCCTCACTAAACTTTTCTTTTTGAGATGGAATCTTGCTCTGCTGCCCAGGCTGGAGTGCAGTGGCGTGATCTCGCATCACTGCAACCTCCGCTTCCCAGGTTCAAGCGATTCTCCTGCCTCAGCCTCCTGAGTAGATGGGATTACAGGCACGTGCCACCATGCCTGGCTAATTTTTCTATGTTTATTTTTATTTATTTATTTAATTATTATTATTTTTTCAAATAAATTTTTTTATTATTATACTTTAAGTTTTAGGGTACATGTGCACAATGTGCAGGTTAGTTACATATGTGTACATGTGCCATGCTGGTGTGCTGCACCCATTAACTCGTCATTTAGCATTAGGTATATCTCCTAATGCTATCCCTCCCCACTCCCCCCATCCCGCAACAGTCCCCAGAGTGTGATATTCCCCTTCCTGTGTCCATGTGTTCTCATTGTTCAATTCCCATCTATGAGTGAGAACATGCGGTGTTTGGTTTTTTGTCCTTGTGATAGTTTACTGAGAATGATGATTTCCAATTTCATCCATGTCCCTACAAAGGACATGAACTCATCATTTTTTATGGCTGCATAGTATTCCATGGTGTATATGTGCCACATTTTCTTAATCCAGTCTATCATTGTTGGACATTTGGGTTGGTTCCAAGTCTTTGCTATTGTGAATAGTGCCCCAATAAACATACGTGTGCATGTGTCTTTATAGCAGCATGATTTATAGTCCTTTGGGTATATACTCAGTAATGGGATGGCTGGGTCAAATGGTATTTCTAGTTCTAGATCCCTGAGGAACTGCCACACTGACTTCCACAATGGTTGAACTAGTTTACAGTCCCACCAACAGTGTGAAAGTGTTCCTATTTCTCCACATCCTCTCCAGCACCTGTTGTTTCCTGACTTTTTAATGATTGCCATTCTAACTAGTGTGAGATGGTATCTCATTGTGGTTTTGATTTGCATTTCTCTGATAGCCAGTGATGGTGAGCATTTTTTCATGTGTTTTTTGGCTGCATAAATGTCTTCTTTTGAGAAGTGTCTGTTCATGTCCTTCTCCCACTTTTTGTTGGGGTTGTTTGCTTTTTCCTTGTAAATGTGTTTGAGTTCATTGTAGATTCTGGATATTAGCCCTTTGTCAGATGAGTAGGTTGTGAAAATTTTCTCCCATTTTATAGGTTGCCTGTTCACTCCAATGGTAGTTTCTTTTGCTGTGCAGAAGCTCTTTAGTTTAATTAGATCCCATTTGTCAATTTTGGCTTTTGTTGCCATTGCTTTTGGTGTTTTAGACATGAAGTCCTTGCTCATGCCTATGTCCTAAATGGTAATGCCTAGGTTTTCTTCTAGGGTTTTTATGGTTTTAGGTCTAACGTTTAAGTCTTTAATCCATCTTGAATTAATTTTTGTATAAGGTGTAAGGAAGGGATCCAGTTTCAGCTTTCTACATATGGCTAGCCAGTTTTCCCAGCACCATTTATTAAACAGGGAATCCTTTCCCCATTGCTTGTTTTTCTCAGATTTGTCAAAGATCAGATAGTTGTAGATATGTGGTGTTATTTCTGAGGGCTCTGTTCTGTTCCATTGATCTATATCTCTGTTTTGGTACCAGTACCATGCTGTTTTGGTTGCTGTAGCCTTGTAGTATAGTTTGAAGTCAGGTAGCATGATGCCTCCAGCTTTGTTCTTTTGGCTTAGGATTGACTTGGCGATGTGGGCTCTTTTTTGGTTCCATGTGAACTTTAAAGTAGTTTTTTCCAATTTTGTGAAGAAAGTCATCAGTATCTTGATGGGGATGGCATTGAATCTATAAATTACCCTGGGCAGTATGGCCATTTTCACGATATTGATTCTTCCTACCCATGAGCATGGAATGTTCTTCCATTTGTTTGTATCCTCTTTTATTTCATTGAGCAGTGGTTTGTAGTTCTCCTTGAAGAGGTCCTTCACGTCCCTTGTAAGTTGCATTCCTAGGTATTTTATTCTCTTTGAAGCAATTATGAATGGGAGTTCACTTATGATTTGGCTCTGTGTTTGTCTGTTATTGGTGTATAAGAATGCTTGTGATTTTTGTACATTGATTTTGTATCCTGAGACTTTGCTGAAGTTGCTTATCAGCTTAAGGAGATTTTGGGCTGAGACAATGGGGTTTTCTAGATATACAATCATGTCGTCTGCAAACAGGGACAATTTGACTTCCTGTTTTCCTAACTGAATACCCTTTATTTCCTTCTCCTGCCTAATTGCCCTGGCCAGAACTTCCAACACTATGTTGAATAGGAGTGGTGAGAGAGGGCATCCCTGTCTTGTGCCAGTTTTCAAAGGGAATGTTTCCAGTTTTTGCCCATTCAGTATGATATTGGCTGTGGGTTTGTCATAGATAGCTCTTAGTATTTTGAGATATGTCCCATCAATACCTAATTTATTGAGAGTTTTTAGCATGAAGGGTTGTTGAATTTTGTCAAAGGCCTTTTCTGCATCTATTGAGATAATCATGTGGTTTTTGTCTTTGGTTCTGTTTATATGCTGGATTACATTTATTGATTTGTGTATATTGAACCAGCCTTGCATCCCAGGGATGAAGCCCACTTGATCATGGTGGATAAGCTTTTTGATGTGCTGCTGGATTCGGTTTGCCAGTATTTTATTGAGGATTTTCGCATCAATGTTCATCAAGGATATTGGTCTAAAATTCTCTTTTTTGGTTGTGTCTCTGCCCGGCTTTGGTATCAGGATGATGCTGGCCTCATAAAACGAGTTAGGGAGGATTCCCTCTTTTTCTATTGATTGGAATAGTTTCAGAAGGAATGGTACCAGTTCCTCCTTGTACCTCTGGTAGAATTCGGCTGTGAATCCATCTGGTCCTGGAATCTTTTTGGTTGGTAAGCTATTGATTATTGCCACAGTTTCAGCTCCTGTTATTGGTCTATTCAGAGATTCAACTTCTTCCTGGTTTAGTCTTGGGAGAGTGTATGTGTCGAGGAATTTATCCATTTCTTCTAGATTTTCTAGTTTATTTGCATAGAGGTGTTTGTAGTATTCTCTCATGGTAGTTTGTATTTCTGTGGGATCGGTGGTGATATCCCCTTTATCATTTTTTATTGTGTCTATTTGATTCTTCTCTCTTTTTTTCTTTATTAGTCTTGCTAGTGGTCTATCAATTTTGTTGATCCTTTCAAAAAACCAGCTCCTGGATTCACTAATTTTTTGAAGGGTTTTTTTGGTCTCTATTTCCTTCAGTTCTGATCTGATTTTAGTTATTTCTTGCCTTCTGCTAGCTTTTGAATGTGTTTGCTCTTGCTTTTCTAGTTCTTTTAATTGTGATGTTAGGGTGTCCATTTTGGATCTTTCCTGCTTTCTCTTGTGGGCATTTAGTGCTATAAATTTCCCTCTACACACTGCTTTGAATGTGTCCCAGAGATTCTGGTATATTGTGTCTTTGTTCTCATTGGTTTCAAAGAACATCTTTATTTCTGCCTTCATTTCATTATGTACCCAGTAGTCATTCAGGAGCAGGTTGTTCAGTTTCCATGTAGTTGAGCAGTTTTGAGTGGGTTTCTTAATCCTGAGTTCTAGTTTGATTGCACTGTGGTCTGAGAGACAGTTTGTTATAATTTCTGTTCTTTTACATTTGCTGAGGAGAGCTTTACTTCCAACTATGTGGTCAATTTTGGAATAGGTGTTGTGTGGTGCTGAAAAAAATGTACATTCTGTTGATTTGGGGTGGAGAGTTCTGTAGATGTCTATTAGGTCTGCTTGGTGTAGAGCTGAGTTCAATTCCTGGGTATCCTTGTTAACTTTCTGTCTCATTGATCTGTCTAATGTTGACAGTGGGGTGTTAAAGTCTCCCATTATTATTGTGTGGGAGTCTAAGTCTTTTTGTAGGTCACTCAGGACTTGCTTTATGAATCTGGGTGCTCCTGTATTGGGGGCATATATATTTAGGATAGTTAGCTCTTCTTGTTGAATTGATCCCTTTACCATTATGTAATGGCCTTCTTTGTCTCTTTCGATCTTTGTTGGTTTAAAGTCTGTTTTATCAGAGACTAGGATTACAACCCCTGCCTTTTTTTGTTTTCCATTTGCTTGGTAGATCTTCCTCCATCCTTTTATTTTGAGCCTATGTGTGTCTCTGCACGTGAGATGGGTTTCCTGAATACAGCACACTGATGGGTCTTGACTCTTTATCCAATTTGCCAGTCTGTGTCTTTTAATTGGAGCATTTAGTCCATTTACATTTAAAGTTAATATTGTTATATGTGAATTTGATCCTGTCATTATGATGTTAGCTGGTTATTTTGCTCGTTAGTTGATGCAGTTTCTTCCTAGTCTTGATGGTCTTTACATTTTGGCATGATTTTGCAGGGGCTGGTTCCAGTTGTTCCTTTCCACGTTTAGTGCTTCCTTCAGGGACTTTTTTAGGGCAGGCCTGGTGGTGACAAAATCTCTCAGCATTTGCTTGCTTGTAAAGTATTTTATTTCTCCTTCACTTATGAAGTTTAGTTTGGCTGGATATGAAATTCTGGGTTGAAAATTCTTTTCTTTAAGAATGTTGAATATTGGCCCCCACTCTCTTCTGGCTTGTAGAGTTTCTGCTGAGAGATCCGCTGTTAGTCTGATGGGCTTCCCTTTGTGAGTAACCCGACCTTTCTCTCTGGCTGCCCTTAACATTTTTTCCTTCATTTCAACTTTGGTCAATCTGACAATTATGTGTCTTGGAGTTGCTCTTCTTGAGGAATATCTTTGTGGCATTCTCTGCATTTCCTGAATCTGAATGTTGGCCTGCCTTGCTAGATTGGGGAAGTTCTCCTGGATAATATCCTGCAGAGTGTTTTCCAACTTGGTTCCATTCTCCCTGTCACTTTCAGGTACACTGATCAGATGCAGATTTGGTCTTTTCACATAGTCCCATATTTCTTGGAGGCTTTGTTCATTTCTTTTTATTCTTTTTTCTCTAAACTTCCCTTCTCACTTCATTTCATTCATTTCATCTTCCATCACTGCTACCCTTTCTTCCAGTTGATTGCATCGGCTCCTGAGGCTTCTGCATTCTTCACGTAGTTCTTGAGCCTTGGCTTTCAACTCCATCAGCTCCTTTAAGCACTTCTCTGTATTGGTTATTCTAGTTATACATTCGTCTAAATTTTTTTCAAAGTTTTCAACTTCTTTGCCTTTGGTTTGAATTTCCTCCTGTAGCTCGGAGTAGTTTGATCGTCTGAAGACTTCTTCTCTCAACTCGTCAAAGTCATTCTCCGTCCAGCTTTGTTCCGTTGCTGGTGACGAACTGCATTCCTTTGGAGGAGAGGCGCTCTGCTTTTTAGAGTTTCAGTTTTTCTGCTCTGTTTTTTCCCCATCTTTGTGGTTTTATCTACTTTTGGTCTTTGATGATGGTGATGTGCAGATGGGTTTTTGGTGTGGATGTCCTTTCTGTTTGTTAGTTTTCCTTCTAACAGACAGGACCCTCAGCTGCAGGTCTGTTGGAGTTTGCTCGAGGTCCACTCCAGACCCTGTTTGCCTGGGTATCAGCAGCCGTGTCTGCAGAACCGCGGATTTTCATGAACCACGAATGCTGCTGTCTGATCGTTCCTCTGGAAGTTTTGTCTCAGATAAGTACCCGGCCGTGTGAGGTGTCAGTCTGCCCCTACTGGGGGGTGCCTCCCAGTTAGGCTGCTCAGGGGTCAGGGGTCAGGGACCCACTTGAGGAGGCAGTCTGCCTGTTCTCAGATCTCCAGCTGCATGCTGGGAGAACCACTGCTCCTTCAGAGCTGTCAGACAGGGACATTTAAGTCTGCAGAGGTTACTGCTGTCTTTTTGTTTGTCTGTGCCCTGCCCCCAGAGGTGGAGCCTACAGAGGCAGGCAGGCCTACTTGAGCTGTGGTGGGCTCCACCCAGTTCGAGCTTCCTGGCTGCTTTGTTTACCTAAGTGAGCCTGAGCAATGCGGGCACCCTTCCCCCAGCCTCGCTGCTGCCTTGCAGTTTAATCTCAGACTGCTGTGCTAGCAATCAGCAAGACTCCATGGGCATAGGACCCTCCGAGCCAGGTGCGGGATACAATCTCCTGGTGTGCCGTTTCCTAAGCCCATCGGAAAAGCGCAGTATTTGGGTGGGAGTGACCCAATTTTCCAGGTGCTGTCTGTCACCCTTTCCTTGACCAGGAAAGGGAACTCCCTGACCCCTTGCACTTCCCGAGTGAGGCAATGCCTTGCCCTGCTTCAGCTCGCACACGGCGCACTGCACCCACTGTCCTGCGCCCACTGTCTGGCACTCCCTAGTGAGATGCACCCAGTACCTCAGATGGAAATGCAGAAATCACCCATCTTCTGTGTCGCTCACTCTGGGAGCTGTAGACTGGAGCTGTTCCTATTTGGCCATCTTGGCTCCTCCCTCCTAATTTTTCTATTTTTAGTAGAGACAGGGTTTCACCATGTTGGTCAGGCTAGTCTCGAACTCCTGACCTCGTGATTCACCTGCCTCGGCCTCCCAAAGTGCTGGGATTACAGGCATGAGCCACCGTGCCCAGCCCCTAAACTCTTAAATAGTTTTAGTCTGTAAGAGAGAATACTCCTGACCTAAATTGGCCAGAAGCCCCTCTCAGGTTTATTCCCAAAATAAACCTGTCTTTGACTGTTGAGCTGCTTTTCCTGTTTCTTTCTTCAACTCTTACACTCAACATATAGAGAACATCAAGAGTATCAATAAAGAGATAGAAATTACGAAAAGGAACTGAATAGAACTTGAACCATATCCCTGTATTTTCCCTGTCCAACTCCCCCTAAGCAACCACTAATCTACTTTCCATCTGTATAGATTTATCTATTTTTGACATTTCATAGAAATGGAATTACATATAGTTGGTCTTTTGTGAGTAGCGTCTTTCCCTTAGCACAAGGTTTTCATTCATGTAGACACATCCTTCCCACCTCTGTGGCTGAATAATACACAATGTATGAATATATCACATTAAAAACACTCATTTATAAATTGATGGGCATTTGGGTTGTTCTGGTCCATTTTTTGCTGGTCCAAGCTTCACCTTCAGATCAGTTACCTGTCTTTTTTTTTTTTTTTTTTTTTTTTGAGACAGGATCTTGCTCCACAGAACAAATCACAGCTCAATGCAGCCTTGACTTCCTGGGCTCAAGCAATCTCCTGCCTCAGCTTTTTGAGTAGCTGAAACTACAGGCACATGCCACCATGCCCAGCTAATTTTTTTTTGGTAGAGATGGGGTCTTACTATGTTGCCCAGGCTTGTCTTGAACTCCTGATCTCAAGTGATCCTCCTGCCTTGGCCTCCCAAAGCACTGGCCTTAAGGTGTGAGCTACAGTTCCCATCCTATTATTAAATATTTTCAAACAGGGAGATAATTTGAAATAATTTTACAAGTGAGCATCCACTTATAGACTGAATTGTCCCCATCCCCTCACCCCCCAAATTAATATGCTGGAGCCCTAACCCCAGTACCTCAGAATGGGACTCTATGTGTAAGATCAGGCTTTTTTTTTTTTTTTTTTTTTTTTTTTTTTTTTTTTGAGATGGAGTCTCACTCTGTCACCAGGCTGGAGTGCAGTGGTGCGATCTTAGCTCACTGCAACCTCCGCCTCCCAGGTTCAAGCGATCTCCTGCCTTAGCCTCTGAGTAGCTGTGACTACAGGAACGTGCCACCATCCCCAGGTAATTTTTGTATTTTTAGTACAGACAGGGTTTCACCATGTTGGCCAGGATGGTCTCAATCTCTTGACCTCATGATCCGCCCACGTTGGCCTCCCAAAGTGCTGGGATTACAGGCATGAACCACCGTACCCGGCCAAGATCAGGCTTTTAAAGAGGCAATTAAGTAAGTTAAAATGAGGCTTTTAGGGTGTGCCCTAATCCAGTTTGGCTGGTGTTTTTATAAGGAAATTAGGACATAATAGACCAAGAAGCATTGTGGTGCACAGACAGAAGGGGCAGCAAGGGGGTAGCCATCTGCAAGCCATGCAGAGACCTCAGGAGAAACCAACCTTGCCAGCCCCTTGATCTTGGACTTCCAGCCTCCAGGACTGTGGGAAAATAAATTTCTACTTTTTATTTATTTATTTTCTTTGAAATGGAGTCTCACTCTGTTGCCCAGGCTGGAGTGCAATGGTGCGATCTTGGCTTACCGCAACTTCTGCCTCCCAGGTTCAAGTGATTCTCTTGCCTCAGACTCCCAAGTAGGTGGGACTACAGGCATGCACCACCATGCCCACACGATTTTTGTATTTTTAGTAAAGACGGGGTTTTGCTATGTTGGCCACGCTGGTCTAGAACTCCTGACCTCAAATGATCCACCACCCTCGGCCTCCCAAAGTGCTGGATTACAGGTGTGAGCCACTGGGCCTGGCCCAAATTTCTACTTTTCACCAGCAAGTCTGTGGTATTTTATAGTAGCCCTACCAAACTAATATAATCTACCATCTAGATTCCATCAGTGATACTTTATTATACTTGCCTGACCACATTGATCTCTGTATCATTCATCAACCCATCTTTATTTTTATTTTTTTTTTGCATTTTGAAGTAGTTTGCAGACAGCAATAGATTTCTCCCCTAAACATTTTTAACATACATATCATTAATTAGAGTTCAAAATTTGGGGCTGGAAGATCTCTTTCCAAGGTGGCTCATCTTCTGCCTAGCAATGTGGTGCTGGAAAGTTGGTCCTTTGCCACGGCGCTGCTTGAGTGTCCTCATGGCATGGTGGATGGCTTTCTCCAGGGAGGGAGCAATTGAAGAAACCGAGGAAGCTTCAGTGTGTCTTATGACCTGGCCTGAGATGCCACACATGGTCACTTCAGCAGCAGCACTGTATTGATTATATGGGTCATCTGATTAAATATTGGGGTGTGTGTGGGGTGCTACACAGGACAGGAATCTCAGGTGGCAAGGATCCTTGGTGAGCATCTTGAAGGCTAGCGAACACATCCACCTTTCCTCCAGACCACCTCATCAGCCCAGAAATCCCCACCCCCTGTTATCTTTTTTTTCTGCTGTAGAGCCTGGTTTCATTGTAGCTGTCTGGGGCCTCTGGCATTTTTATGGCTGTGTTTGGGATAAGTTGCAAGGTTTCCTTTCCCCTTTCTCCCCTCTCTGTTCTTCTCAGCCTCACCCCCAGCTTCACCCTTCCTTTTCCTCTCAGGGCCTTTCTGAGCAGTTGATGCTCTGAGGGTCAGCTGGGAATGCAGCCTATAAGAGCGGTCTGCTGGGTGCAGAAAATGTTGGGGGAAGGTTTGCTTCCTGGGCTCCTGTCACCTCCTGTATTATGGGAGCTTGGGGGCATATGCTGGCATGTTGGGACTACTGTTGTCTTCCATGTTCTAACATTCCCTGGGAAAGGAGACACTTGGTTTGATGGGGCTCTACGTATCTGCTATCAGGTGGGGACAGACATCTGCATTGCAAGAGCAAGCTGAAGAGTTGCCTACTAGGGCTCAGCTGGTTTCTTGTGTTTGGAATAAAGAGGGCTCACTGAAGGGGCAGTCATCTTATGTTAGGGAAGACTTGAGGGACTCACACTGTGGGCTCTCCTCATTTATGTTGAGAGTGTTGCTTCCTGATGCTTCTGTCAACTCTTATTTTGTAATAATCGAATGAGAGGTAGAACCTGGCGGGTTGCCTGTTGAGATTCTCATGATTGTATTGGGGGAAGGCTGTGGTATCCTTGCTGGGGATATTTGTGTCTGCTCTTGGGGAGACAAGGGAGGCAAGCTAGGGTTTGTGTTGAGTGAGAGTGTTGTGGAATTTGGAGCTTTCTTTAGTATGTAGGGGATTGGAAATTGCCTTTTTGGGTTTCCTTCATCTAATGTTAGAGGAATATAGGGGGGTCACTTGAAGTTCTCATCTGATGGAATCCTCATTGTGTTGAGGGGTGTAACTAAGAGGCTGGAGGTACGAGCTCCTGTTTTTTAGGGCCTGGAGGATCACTACCTTTGACTCCCATTTTTTAAATATTGGGGAGTCAGGGAAGTGTACCTGGATGGAGGTCCCATTGTCTTAGTTTGGGAAGAAGATGGGTTGTTATTCTGTGGGGGTCCACTTATCTCTGTCCAGTGGGTTTGGAAGGGTCTCTTTTAACCTATTTTATCTAGTGTTGAGGGGGTTACTAGAGTCACTTTCTGGGTCTTCCTTATTATTGGTATAGATGAGGTAGGTCACTGGGCTTGGGATCCTCATTCTTTAGTGCTGAGGGGCAGCTGAGGAAGTCACTTGTGGGATTGCTGTCATTTCAAGTATCAGACATAACTGGAGGTGCTTATTGAAATTTCCATCAGTTCTAGTTTTGGGAGGATGGATGTCTTGCTTTCTCAGTATCTTTTGTGTTTGGGGATGACACCTGCTAACTGAGGTCTTGTTGCCTCTAGTTTTGGAGGGGCCTGATGACCCCTTACTAGGACTTCTATCATCTCTATTGTTGGATGCAGACTATACGCACCACTTGTTGGGCCTTCCATAATCACTAGTCTTGTGTGTTTGTGTGTGTTGGGGGAGAAATCTCCTGCAGTGCTTTCCACCACCTCTAGTTTGGGGAGATCAATGCAATGTGTTTTTAAAAGCATTTTATTTTGGAAAGTTTAGATATACATAAAAGTTGTAAAACTATACAGGGTTGTTTTATACAGTCAGTACTGATTTATATTTACTTGCATCTTATGTTTCCTGTTGATCTTAATTCCTGGAATTATGTATGTCTCTATGGAATCATTTTCCTGAAGCCTGAAGAAATCTCTTCAGTGTTTCTGAAAATACGGTTATGCTGTTAATTCTCTCAGCTTAAAAAAATCCCTCCCAGGCCGGGCGTGGTGGCTCACGCCTGTAATCCCAGCACTTTGGGAGACCGAGGTGGGCAAATCATGTGAGGTCAAAGGATCGAGACCATCCTGGCCAACATGGTGAAACCCTGTCTCCACTAAAAATACAAAAATTAGCTGGGCGTGGTAGCACACACCTGTAGTCCCAGCTACTCAGGAGGCTGAGGCAGGAGAATCACTTGAACCCAGGAGGAGGAGGTTGCAGTGAGCCGAGATCATGCCACTGCACTCCAGCATGGCGACAGAGTGAGACTCCATCTCAAAAAAAAAAAAAAAAATATTCCCTCCCATTGGAAAACATTGTTGCCTTCAGTTTTGAAGAATATTTTCTTAGGTTACAGAACTTTTGATTGACAATTTCCCCCTCCTCCAACCCATTTAACCCTTTATATGTCAGATGTCATTCATTGTCTTCTTGCTTCCATAGTTTCTTTTGAAAAGTCATCATTAGTCTTACTGATGCTGCTTTGAAAGCAATGTGTCCTTCTTCTTTGGTTGTTTGGTAGATTTGCAGTTTGTCTCTCATTTTCTATGGTTTGTCCATGTTTCCTCCATTTCCCTTAACATATTATTCTTGGTTATTTTAAAGTCTTTGTCTGCTAACTCCAATACCCAAATTGTCTCTGGATCTGCTATTGATTTATATATTCATAAATGGGGATATTTTCCTGTCTCAATGGATGAAGGAGAGTGAGGTCTGACCCTGGCTATTTCCTGCAGGAGGACCTGGGGCTGGATGCTATCGCTGACTGACCTCTCTCAGCTCCTGGAATGCAGCCCTCTCCTCTCGTCTCCAGATTCAGTTGCTCCCTCCCTTCGTCCCTTCAGGCTGTGAGGTGTTAGAGCTCTGCCCTGCTAAGCTGCTGGGTGCTTTACAACTTTTTGTGGTTTCCCTGGATCCTGTCCACAGGACTGAGTAGACCCTTTATGAAAACTCTACTTGAATTGTCCTAGTCTGTGGGTGTCAACCTGAGTTCCTGCTGGGACCCTGACTGATGTGCCAACTCACTGAAATAAGGAAAAGTCCTAACAATGTCTCAGAAAACCCAACAAGATCAGGATCTACCATGTCTCTGACCACATCATCTTTTACTGCTCCCTCATCACCCCTTTGTTCCACTCCAGCTGTATTGGCCTCCTTGTTGTGGGCCTTTGCATGCCAACACTACTCTTGCAAGACAAATTCATATGACTCACTGTCCCAACTTGTTGAGATCTCCGCTCAAATGCTCCTTACCAAGAGGCTTTCTTTTCCTAGTTATATAAAATTATTATTCCCAACCCCCCTTAACTCTCCTAAAATGCTTTTTTTTCCTATAACTCTATAATACCATATTTTCTTGATTTTTCTATAATCTGTTCCTCCTCCATTAGGTGAAGTATTTCAATGGCAAAACTTTGCCTGGCACACAGAACATACTCCGTTAATAGGGTAGTGGTTAAGTGCATGGACTGTCTGGGTTCAGATCTTGGCTCTACCATTTACCAGTCAGTGAATGCAGGCAAGTAACTTAAGTGTATCATACCAGTTTTCTCATCTGTAAACTGGGGATAATAACATTACATACTTAAGTTTATAATGCATACTGAGTTAATACTTATATGTCATTTAGAAGGGGGCCTGATCTATGGGAAGTGCAATATAAATGTCTGACCATCAGGAGTTCGAGACTAGCCTGGCCAACATGGTGAAACCCCATCTCTACTAAAAATATAAAAAAATTACCTGGGCGTGGTGGCAGGTGCCTGTAATCCCAGCTACTCAGGAGGCTGAGGCAGGAGAATTGCTGGAACCTGGGAGGCCAAGGTTGCAGTGAGCCGAGATCGCACCATTGCACTCCACCCTTGATGACAAGAGTGAAACTCCATCTAAAATAAATAAATAAATAAATAAATGTTTGACCATTTATTATTAATGCATTACAATACTTTGCTATGTAAAAATATCATCTCCACATAAAAAGGAATACAGAATACCTAATCCTGTATGCATCTAGTTACATAATGTCAAAATATATAAAAATGACAAAATTACAGTGTTAATACATAAACATAATGGAAGAGTTTACCACACCTCTATCACTAAATAAGGTTAGAAAAAGAAATCTGAACATACGTACTGTACTTGGAAATACAATTAAGTTGCATTAATGTTCATATACCCTATATCCAAATATTAGAGAATATACATTGTTTTCAAAGAAACAACATGGGTAAAACTTGACCAATTTATAGGTTTACCAGTTAGATTCTGCATCCTGCTGGAAGTTAACAGAACACCACCTCAAAAACAAACAACAGATCATGTTGGCTTCAATCAGTTAGGGGTTTCTTTTTTTAAAAATATTTATTTGTTTATTTTGAGATGGAGTCTCGCTCTGTTGCCAGGCTGGAGTGCACTGGCGCCATCTTGGCTCACTGCAACCTCTACCTCCCAGGTTCAGGCAATTCTCCTGTCTCAGTTTCCCGAGTAGCTGGGAATACAGGTGTGCACCACCACACCCAGCTAATCTTTATACTTTTAGTAGAGATAGGGTTTCACCACGTTGGCCAGGATGGTCTCAATCTGTTGACCTCATGATCCACCCACCTCAGCCTCTCAAAAGTGCTGGGATTAAAGGCGTGAGCCACCACACCCAGCCTAGGGGTTTCTTTTAGTCACATAAGAAGTATAAGAATAAGGAGTCCAGAGCAGATGCAGCCAATCGGAGGCTCCTGGAGAGCCCAAAGCATTGTGATTTTTGGCTGCACTTTGGTTTCTGTCATTGTGGTCAAAAAGAAGCTCTTCAAACTCTAGACCTTGAGGCCACTTTCCAAGAGACAGAATGGGTGAGGTGAATGGAAAATATGTGAGGAGAACAAGCCAGGAGATGTTCCACACAGTGACTTCGACTTACTTCTCATTGCCAGGGGAGTGCGAAAAAACCCGCCTGGGCTTCAGGAAAAACTATAAGATTGAGAACTTTCGATATTGTTCACAGACAACTTGAACAACATGTTTGTTTCTTTAAACGAATAAACTGAAGAGAACGGACACTGGGAAAGAAACCAACAGTATTTGGCATACCAAGATAGAGAGAAAATAATCAGTATCATAAAGCTCATGTACTCTGCCAAAAATACCACTACATTAGAAAAATGTGTTTATAAATACTAATTTCCATTATGATAAACTGAATCACTCAGAAGGTATTTGGAAATAACTTTTTGAATATGCAATGTGTGGATGTCTTTAACAAGCAAATTAATTATAATAAATACATTGCATTAAAATTATGAAATATGTTAATGTTTATTTTAGGGAACAGCTATACACAAATGTTTATATTAAAAGAAAAAAAGACTAAAAAAATTAATGAGCCAGCAGTCCAATCTACAGATGAGACACTGATAAAGGATATCCCACACTCAAAACAGTGATTATACTTTTTGTTCCCAGTGAAAATTGTGGCCACTCAGTGAAGAGTTCAGGCTGAGGCATCCTAACACTGATTACATTCCTAGGGGTTTCTCCATATAAGTTCTCTCATATACAAGAAAGAGAAGAATCACTGAAAAATTTTCCAATATTAATATACTCATAGGTTTTGCATCCAGGGAGAAGTTCCATATTTTCCCTAACACAGAGGCATCACTGAAGGCTTTCTCTTCTTCTTTATATTTCAAGTTTCTCTGTAGTGTGAATGCTCACAAGTTTCCTAACAAATGTAGAAAAACAGAAAGCTCTCCAATATTGATGATGTTCAATGGGGCATTCTCTCCAGAATTAATTCTCAAGTCCCTTAAAAACCGATAGAACATTCAAGGCTTTCCCATAGTCACTGCAGAATACCACACTATAGTTTGCTCAGTAATGTGAACACTTTTGCTGTAGGGTATTCCGCATTTCTGAGTGTTGTTCCATTGTGTGATTTCCAGTGCGTCTTAAGGGATGACTGTCACTGAAGCCTTCTGAGACCTTCACAGGTTTTCTCCCTTAGTGTGAGCTGTCACATGAATCCCTGCTGATAGCACTGAAGGCTTTCTACAGCTGTTCCATTCTTCAGGATTCTCTCAGTACATAATCTTCTGGGCCCATGAAGGTGAGAATTCGAGCTGAGAGCTTTACCATACAGATTGTCCTCAAAAGGTTTCTCTTCAGAGTGAATTAATAGGAGTTACTGAATGCTATTTCATATTGATTAGAGTAGAAGGATGATGTGCTGAGGGCTTTTCTTCATTAATTCCATGGCAAATTTCCCAGATGCTTCTGAGTTATCTGTTTCCTGGTATTCATACCTTCTGCAGTCTCTCACATTGTATCAGGATTGGTGTGTTGTGAGACCAACACAATAGGAAATAAGTGAAAGCTTAGCAGTCCTCCTGAGGATAGGTCATAAAAGCCATTTTGGCCTCTGTATTGGTCCTCTCTTGGATCACTAACCTTGGCGAGAACTTATTGCCAAATTGTCAAGGAGCTGGGCCTTGTAAAGAGGCCTACATGGTAATGACTGAAGGTCCCCTGACAACAACCAACATCAACTTTCCAGGCATGTGAATAAGTCATCTTGGAAGTGGACTGTTCATCAGTAAAGATGTTAGATGACTATAGCTTTGGCTGACATCTTGATTGTAAGTAAAGGCATGAGAGATCCTGCAGTGTAACTACAGAGATAAGCTGTTCTTGAATTCCTGATCTGTAGAAATTGTTAGAGAATAAACATTTCGTGTTTGAAGCCACAAAATTTGCGGGGATCATTTGTTATGCTGCAACAAATAACTTATATATCCAGTGTGAGCTCTCTCAAACTATCTTAGGGATGAAAGATCAATGAGTGCTTTCCTCCAGAAGTTCCTGCAGTAATTCATATCCATCTATTATGTATTCTCTTGTGCACAGAAAGATAGGAGTTACTTGTGAAGGATTTCCCACAATGATTACATTCATAGGGTTTTTCTCCAGTGTGAGTTCTTAAGTGTTTCTTCACAGCTGAGAGATTATTAAAGGCTTTTCCACAGTCACTGCACTCGTAGGGTTTCTCTCCGGTATGTATTCTCTTGTGCACAGTAAGAGAAAAGCTACTGCTGAAGGATTTCCCACACTCGTTACATTCATAGGGTTTTTCTCCAGTATGAGTTCTTACGTGCTGTGTCAGATAGGAGCTCTTCCTGAAGGTTTTCCCACAATCGTGACATTCATAAGGTTTCTCCCCTGTATGAATGCTATTGTGCCCAGTGAGAGAGGACCTTGTGCTGAAAGCTTTTCCACACTGATTACATTCATGGTGATTCTCCCCCGTGTGAATCCTCTTGTGGCTTTTGAGGTTACAACTGGTGCGGAAAACGTGAAAACACTGGTTACATTCATAGGGTTTTTCTCCAGTGTGAATTCTCAAATGCAGTCTAAGGGATGAGGGATCACTAAATGCTTTCCCACAGTGATTGCATTCATAGGGTTTCTCCCCATTATGGATTCTCTTATGAATAGTAAGGTAAGATCTGCTACTGAAGGACTTCCCACATTGACTACAGTCATAGGGTTTTTCTCCAGTATGAATTCTCTTGTGCTGAGTTAGGTTAGATTTCGTGCTGAAGACTTTAAAACACTGATTACATTCATTGAGTTTCACTCCACGATGACTTCTTTCCTGTGGATTAAGAGATGAATGATAACTATAATTTATAATATTTGAAATACTTAATGTTCTCCTAGGAATCTTCTCTCCCAGGAATTCTGTTACATTATTATAATTGATATTTTGGCTACTTTCAGTGGTTGTATGTGATTTCTGCCCAGTTTTAGCTCTAAGAAAGTTAAAAAACATAGATGCTTTGCCACAAGTCCTTATCAGATGCACAAAACATTTTCTGATAACGTGTGGATGAAGTTTTGTTCCAACAGTCAATATCTGAGCCACAGATAGGAAATATTTACTTGTGGGAACTCTCCGTGAAGAAATAAGTTTGGAGCTAACTCACACTTCTCTAAATATTTATAATTTTCACAGTGTCTCTCCAGGAACACAGCATTCTCAATTATAAATGACACTTTCCTTTAATGCCTCTCCTGGTTATTTTGTGCCCTTTCTAAACTTAAGGCATTCTCCTACTGTAGAAAACCAGAAATCACCCATGTTAGTCTTACCGTTTTTACACCTTTAGACTGTTCTTTTCTGAAAACATTCTTCTTAGGAGTTAACCATTTGGCTTTAAGTAGAGTCTCCAAATCTGAAACAAATTGAAAAGAAATTTAGGTTGATGGAGAAAAGAAATGGAAAAGTGTACACATGAGTAAAGGCAGATTCTGAGGGATCAGGGTTTTTGAGGATGTTTGCAACAAAGAGGATTTGGTTATGAAAATTTTAGGTATTAATTTTAAAAAAGGATTCTAGACAAATTGAGATTGATCACAGATTGACAAGAGGAGTGATCAGGAATGCAAAGTGGAAAGGAACTTGACTGAAATTTTCAAAAGAGTTGCATCTTTGTTTCTTCCCTGAGCCCAAAGTGAAGTATGAGATGATGACAAGGGAGTTAGAGAGAAAAGAAAGGACATGAGGAAGCTCACACCAAATGTTCTCGTGCATGTTTGTCAGGAACAGGGTATTTTACAAAGTTCCCTGATTGACATGAACTAATGTAATACTCCCAACCCCCAAGTCACTGGCCAGAGCTATTCCTCACAAGGGCTCATATCCACCTGGTGCTCACCTGGACAGGTGCTTGGTAGAATTCCTCTTTCCTCTGTCACCACCTTCTTGTCTTGTTCCAACTGGGATATCAGACTGGGTTTATTAACACGACACCCTATTTATGGAAACAATACACATGATATAGGTAACAGTGCTGGGGACAACCAAGTCCATGAAAGAAAGCCAACATTTATGAAGATGGAAAAGTGTGACTTTAGGAGCAGTGAAATAAATTATGCCTTAATTCTTTTCTTTTTTTTATTTATTTTGAGATGGAGTCTTGCTCTGTCGCCCGGGTTGAAGTGCAGTGGCATGATCTCGGCTCACTGCAACCTCTGCCTTCCAGGTTCAAGCGATTCTCCTGCCTCAGCCTCCCAAGTAGTTGGGACTACAGGTGCACACAACCACGCCCGGCTAATTTTTGTATTTTTAGTAGAGACGGGGTTTCACCATATTGGCCAGGCAGGTCTTGATCTCTTGATCTCCTGGCCTCGTGATCCACCCACCTTGGCCTCCCAAAGTGCTGGGATTACAGGCATGAGCCACCACGCCCTGCCAATTATACCTTAATTCTAGTGCATATGGTAACTCTCACTGAACAAAAATGCAACAAGCATATTCAACTAGATATTCAGGGTGATAGGGCATAAACAGCCCCAGAAGGCCATGCCTGAGTTCAAATGCACACTTCAGAGGCCCCAAAACTTTTAACCATGAAGAATATAAAGTCAGGACAAGAAATAGATCTTCAGTTCATAAGGCAGGAATTAGAGACTGCCCATGAGGGTGGGACCATATGGTCCCATTCATCACTGTACTCCCAAGTCACTGCACAGACCTAGGAACACAGAGGTGCTCAAGAAAACTTGAAAGAAGTGATGACAGTGACAGTGGTGGAGGACGGAATTCCAAACGTTCATCCCTCCACAAAAACAGTGAGTAAACTGGCAAAAGCGGTCCGAATCAACTTTATCGGAATTCTTGAAATGTATCAAAAGTCCACAGCAATCAGGAGAATGCCTTCTCAGAAAACCCAGCTGAATCTGGGTAAGAGAGCTTTATGATACTTTAAATGGACCTCTTTCCCCTGCTTTTTCTACAACCTTGAAGACAACAGCCTGCATTCCTAGTACTTGCAGGGAGCAGAACAGACCTTACTCTGTGGTTGCTCTTCCTGACCTGTCTGGTGGTTCCCTGAAGGACTGGCTCAAAGGGTTGTCTTTATTTATCTAACTCCAAATTCTTTCAGGACTGAGCTGGTTACCTGGAACACACGTGATCGACAGATGTAAAGGTAAATGTATTAGTCAGTACTGCTTGAGGCAAGAGAAAACAGTAGAAGCAAACAAAAGACTAACCGAAAAGCCTGAAAGGAAAAATGGGGAAAAAGATGTTTGGGGAGTAGGACTTTGAAAATCTTCCTCATATTCTTAAGAACCTGTAATTCCAAGCACATACTCAGGGCTGGGAGCATGCCCAGAAAATACCTGAGAAGGCACAAAACCCTCATCTTTTGGTGACCTTCAGGCTCTGCACAAGCCAGAAATGAAGGTCAAGGCACAGTTAAATGCCTACCTAAGTATTAAAGGCATGTCCCTATGTACACACAGAGCCCACGTAAAGAGACTAGAAGTTTTTTCCTTTTTTGTTCCAGGCCTTCAAATCACTATATGACCATTACGCTATCAGAAAAGAGACTTCGGTGGCCACACATGACAAATACAGACATTACAAAGTTAGTTCTGAAATAGAACTATTGTATATTCTAACAGGAGTTTACAATATATGATATTCTACAACTTTAGAACACACAATAGTTCTATTTCACAACTAACTTTAGAACTGTTGTATGTTCTATAGATACAATACCAACTACAACAAGTAAAACAAACTCTGGAGATGGGGAAAAGTCTGATTCCCAAATTGCTATATTATAATATTCCAAATACCCTAGTTTCAACAAAATAATTATGAGGGAGGCAAGGAAACAAACGTTGGGCCCATTACAAGAAAAATGAAGCTGGTAGAAATTGTCCCTTCAGAAGTTCAAACACTGGACTTAACTAGACAAGTAAAATAAGTCAACTATTTAAAATCTGCTAAAAGATGTAAAAGAAATATGTATAAAGAACTAAAGGAAACCATGAATACAAATTTTCATCAAATGAAAAACAGCAAAATAGGTACAACTATGGCATATCAAAAAAATACAAAAAATGGAAAACATTAAGAGACAGAAACTTTAGGAAGGCAAATAAAAAAATTTGAGTTGAAAAGTACAATAGCTGAAATGAAACATTCAGAACATATCTGAGCAGGCAGAAGACAAAATTGGTGACCATGAAGATAGGACAATCGATATTATCCAGTCTGAGGAGCAGAAAAAAGAGAGATGCCAGGTGCAATGGCTCATGTATAATCCCAGCATTTTGGGAGGCTGAGGCAGGAGGACTGCTTGCAACCAGGAGTTCAAGACCAGCCTGGGAAACATGGTGAGATCCTGACTCTACAAAAAATTAAAAAAATTAGCTGGGCATGGTGATGCACGTCTCTAGCCATGCCTCCCTATTTGGGAGGCTGAGGTGGGAGGATCACTTGAGCCCAGGAGGTCAAGGCTGCAGTAAGCCACAATCACTCTGCTGCACTCCGGCCTAGGTGACAGAGTGAGTGAGAACCTGTCTCAAAGATAAAGAGAGAGAGAGAGAGAGAGAGAATGTGAGTTTTAAAAAAGATGAACAGAGCCTGAGACCTTTGGGATACCATCGAACCTACCAACATATATAGGATGTGGAGAACCAGAGAGATGTAAAGAGAGAAAAGGGTGAGAAGGTTGAAGAAATAATGGCTAAAAACTTCCCAAAATTTGATGAAAGGCACAAATGTACAAATCCAAGAAGCTCAACAAACTCAAGTAGAATAAATTTGAAAAAATAGAGATTCATACTGAAACACACACACACACACACACACATTTTTTGAGCCAGGGTTTTATTCTGTCACCCACGCTGGAGTGCAGTGGTGTGATCATGGCTCACTGCAGCCTTAATCTCCTGGGGTCAAGCAATCCTTCCACCTCAGCCTTCCAAGAAGCTGGGACCATAGGTGTGCACCAGCACGTCTGACTAATTTTTTAATTTTTTGTAGAGACAGGGTCCAAGTTGCCCAGGCTGGTCTCATACTCCTGACCTCAAGGGGTCCTTCTGCCTCAGCCTCCCAAAGTGTTGGGATTATAGGCGTGAACCATTGCAGCCGGCATCAAACACATATTAATCAAACTGTTGAAAGACAAAGGCAGCATCCTAAAAACAGCAAGACGGAGATGACTTATGACGTAAACAGGATCCTCGGTAAGATTACAGTCAATTTCTCAATAGAAACCATGGAAACCACCAAGCGCTGGAGTGGTACATTCAAAGAGCTGAGAAAAAATGGCAACCAAGAATTCTATATCTGGCAAAACTCCCCTTCAAAAATAAAGAAATGAAGACCTTCCCATAAACAAAGACTGAGTGTTTGTCACTATTACATCTACCCTACAAAAAATGATCAAGGGTGACTTCAGGACAAAATGAAAAGATAATGGAGAGTAACTTGAATCCACAGAAGGAAGTGAAGAACACAGGTAAAGGTAAATACAGAGGTGAATATAAAAGTCACTGACAATGTGTTTTTGGTTTATAACTTCTCTTTTATTACTACATAATTTAAAGACAAAAGCATAAATGATTACACATCTACATTAATGGGCACACAATGCATACAGATGCAATTTGTGACAAAATTACTAAACAGAACAGCTACAGTGAAACAAAGTTTTTATATACTATTGAAACTAAGTTGCTATTAAACTAGATTGTTATAAATTAAAATGCTTATTAAAATTCTCAGGGCAACCACTAAGAAAATAACTAAAAAGATTAAAAAGAAATGAGAAGGGAATCAAAATGGTCCACTAGAAAATATCTAACACAAAACAACAATGAAAGAACTTAGGAACAAAAATGATATGACACGTAGAAAAAAGTAAATAGTTATAGAGCAAATAGTAAATAGGCAGAAGTAGCTCCTTCCTTATCAGTAATTACATCATTACAAGGTGGATTTTGGCAGAATGGATTTAAAAAATAACCCAATTACAGATGGTCCCCAGCTTACCATGGTATGATTTTTTAACTTTATGATGGTACAAAGATCATACGCATTCAGTAGAAAGCACACTTCAAGTACCCTACAACCATTCTATTTTTCACTTTCAGTACCATATTAAATATATAATTTATAATTGTTGAGATATTCAATACTTTATTTAAAATACACTGCTATGTTAGCCCACTGCCCAACTGTAGGCTAATGTAAGTGTTCTGAGCATGTTTAGGCTAGGCTAACTTATGATGTTCAGTGGGTTAGGTGAATTAAATGCATTTTTGACTTTTTTTTTTTTCATTGTTTTGCATTTTTGACTTATGGTATTTTTAACTTACAATGGCTTTATTGGGACATAGCCCCATCAAAGTTGCGGAGCATGTGTACATACTGTCTATAAGACACTTGCTTTATATTCAAAGACACAAATATGGCCAATAGTGAAAGAATGGAAAAAGATATTTCATACAATAAAAATTGTTATAAAACAGAGAAAGACATTATAGTTGTATAAAGCATCAATTTATGGAGAAAATGTAACGATTATAAACATATATGTGCCTAATAAGAACTCCAAAATGTATGAAGTAAAAACTGGCATAATTGAAGGAAGATATAGAGTGTTCTATAATAATCGTTTGAGACTTCAATACTCCACTTTCAATAATGGATAAAACAACATATTAGAAGATCAAAAAGGAAACAGAAGGATTAAACAATAAACTAACTAGACCTAACAAATATATAAAGAACACACCACCCAACAAGAGAATCCATATTCATCTCAAATGCACATGGAACATTCTCCAGGATAGATTATATGTTAGGCTATAAAAAAAGTCTGACTAAATTAAAAAACAATGAACTCATACAAAGTATCTTCCTTAACCACAATGGAATGAAATTAAAAATGAGTAACAGGGCCAGGCGCAGTGGCTCACGCCTGAAATCCCAGCACTTTGGGAGGTCGAGGTGGGTGGATCACGAGGTCAAGAGATTGAGACCATCCCGGCCAACATGGTGGAACCCTATCTCTACTAAAAATACAAAAATTAGCTGGGCGTGGTGGTGCGCACCTGTAGTCCGAGCTACTCGGGAGGCTGACGCAGGAGAATCACTTGAGCCTGGGAGGCGGAGGTTGCAGTGAGCCGAGATCGCACCACTGCACTCCAGCCTGGTGACAGAGTGAGACTCTGTCTCAAAAAAAATAATAAAGTTATGTATTGGAAGCCTTAATATTGTTAAGGTGACAATACTACCCAAAATTATCTACAGAGATAAAACAATCACTATCAAAATTCTGAGTTTTTTTTCCTTTCAGAAATACACAAACTGATCTGAAAATTCATGGCATTGCGAGGGATCTTGAACAGACAAGAAGTGAAAAAGAAGAATAAAGTAGAAAGATTTACACTTACTGTTATCAAAACTTACTACAATGTAACAATAATCAAGGCATTGTGGTACTGACCCAAGGACAGATACATAGACCAATGGAGCCAGGAGCAGTGGCTCATGCCTGTAATCCCTGCACTTTGGGAGGCCCAGGTAGGCGGATCACTTGAGGTCAGGAGTTCGAGATATACAGACCAATGGAACAGAATTGAGAGTATGTAAATAAACTCCAGTGTGTATGGCCACATAATTTTCAATAAGGGTACCAAGGTCATTTGATGGGGAAAGAATAAAGGTGGTGAGACAACTGGATATACACACATGCAAAAGAATGAAGTTGACCCTTTCTCCACACCATAAGCAAAATTCACTCAAAATCTATCACACAGCTGAGTGGAATTGTTAACACTAGAAAATTCTTGGAAGAAAACATAGGGGTAGATCTTCATGACCTTGACTTGAGCAATGGTTTCTTAGGTATCACACCAAGAGCACAAGCAAAAAAGAAAAACTAGATACAACAGACTTCATCACAATTAAAATTTTTTTTGTCTTCTGAGACGGAGTCTCGTTCTGTCGCCTAGGCTGGAATATAGTGGATCTCGGCTCACTACAACCTCTGCCTCCCAGGTTCAAGTGATTCTCTTGCCTCAGCCTCCCGAGTAGGTGGGATTACAGGCACCTGCCACCACGCCTGGCTAATTTTTGCATTTTTAGTAGAGATGGGGCTTCACTAAGTTGGCCAGGCTGGTCTTGAACTCCTGACCTTAAGTGATCCATCCATCTCAGCCTCCCAAAGTGCTGGGATTACAGGCGTGAGCCACTCTGCCTGGTCACAATTAAAACTTTTGTGCATCAAAGGACACTATCAAGAAAATGAAAAGACACCCAAAGAATAGAGAAATCATTTATGTATTATATTTTGAATAAGGATTTGGTACCCAGAATATAAAATGAACTTTTAAAATCCGACAACAAAAATAAACAACCCAAGTAAAACATGGGCAGAGGACTGGGAGCGGTGGCTCACACTTGTAATGCCAGCACTTTGGGAGGCCAAGGCAGGCGGATCATTTGAGGCCAGGAGTTTGAGACCAGCCTGGCCAACACAGCGAAACCCTGTCTCTATAAAAAATACAAAACAATTTAGCCAGGCATGGTGGCACATGCCTGTAATTCCAGCTACTTGAGAGGCTGAGGTATGAGAATCACTTGAACCCGGAAGGCAGAGGTTGCAGTGAGCCGAGATCGTGCTGCGCCACTGCACTCCAGCCTGGGCGACAGAGGGAGACTGTGTCAAAACAAGCAAACAAACAAATAACAACAATAACAAAAATGGGCAAAGGACTTGAATAGACATTTTTCCAAAGAAAAATACTCAACAAGTACATGAAAAGATGCTCCATGTCATTTGTCATTAGAAAAATGCAAATCAAAACAAGAACGAGATAGCACTTCATACCTACTGGTATGAGTATAATCAAAAAGGCAAGTGCTGGGAAGATGCAGAGAAGCTGGAACCCTCCTGCATTGGCGGGAACGTGCAATGGTGCAGCTGCTGTGGAAAAGTCTGGCAGTTCCTCAAGAAGCTAAACACAGACCTAGCCTTCCACTCCTAGTATATGCCCAAGAAAATGGAAAGTGGGCATTTAAACAAAAGCTCGTACACAAAAATTCATAGTATTATAGCATTATTCTTGATAGTCAAAGAGTGGAAACAACTCAAATGTTTCTCAATAGAAAAATGGATTGGCAAAATGTGGTATGTCCATACAATGGAATATCATTCAGTCATAAGGAATGAAGCGCTGGTACAACATACAACATAGCTAAGTTTTTTTGTTTTGTTTTTTTTGAGACACAGTTGTGCTCTGTTGCCCAGGCTGCAGTGCAATGGCACAATCTCAGCTCACTGCAACCTCTGCCTCCTGGTTCAAGCGATTCTCCTGCCTCAGCCTCCTGACTAGCTGGGGATAGGTGTGTGCCACCACGTCCGGCTAATTTGTATTTTTAGTGGAGATGGGGTTTCACCATGTTGGTCAGGCTGGTCTCGAACTCCTGCCCTCGTGATCCGCCCGCCTCGGCCTCCCAAAGTGCTGGGATTACAGGTGTGAGCCACCACACCTGGCCCATAGCTAAGTTTTTAAAACACTGTGCTACATGAAAAGTCAGACACAAAAGGTAATGTATTTTGTAATTACATTTATATGATATGTTCTGGATAGGTAAATTCCTAAAGACAGACACCAGATGAGTGGTTACCAGCAGCAGTGGGTAGGGAAAGTAACGGGTATTGGCTGCTTCATAGGGACGGGGTTTCCTTCAGGGTGATGAAAATATGGTGATATTAGATAGTGTTGATGGTTGCACAATACCATGAATGTATGAAAAACCACTGGACTGGATATCTTAGAATGGTTAAAAATGGTGAATTTTATGTTGTATGGATTTTACCACAATAAAAAAAGTAAGCAAAGCAGGCAAGTGTTGCCACTGGAGTCATTAAATAAATGCAGGAATGACATTAGGCTTACCTAGTGAGGCCAGGTTCCTGCAGTTCTCCAGCATCACATCCCTGTACAGTGTCCTTTGGGCAGGGTCCAGCAACGCCCACTCCTCCTGGGTGAACTCCACGGCCACATCCTCGAAGGTTACCAAGCCCTAAAGCATTGCAAACATCACGGCTTAGCCAAGGACCACCCCCACCAACGTGCACAGGAAGAGGGGCCAGGAGAACAGAGCCAGGGCTGGGGAAACCTGAGCACGAGATGTTGGGGGGGGTGGTTCTGAGCTCACCTCCCAGGGTTCTGAGCTCCTCTCCCAGGGTTCTGAGCTCCTCTCCTGGGGTTCTGAGCTCTTCTCCCTGGCTTCTGAGCTCAGCCCTCAATGCTTGTCTCCTTAGGCCATTCCCAGGTCCAGTGCACAGTACCACAGAGCAGCTGCCTTTTCTCACTCAGACTGGGAGCTCCTGTGATCTTATTTCCCTCAATCTCCAGGGGATCATGGGCCCGTGACATGGCAGAAAGCAGAGAAATACTTGGTAAGTGAATGACTGATTTCCGTGGCGTTTATTAATTGCTTGGGTTTAGAACATCATCACGTCTTTACTTGGCTTTCCCTTAAAACTCTCAGGAGCACATGATGTACTCAGGGACCCTGGAGGGAGCTCTGAACCTGCAGTAAATGTTGACACACACTGACATTTTCTGGGCAGCCCTCACCCTCCATCTGATGCCTGGAAATCCTGGGATGCCTGAGGACCTGGTTTGGCCATGAGGCTCCAGGCTGCTGGAAGGTATCAAGTCCAACCTTCTGGCCAAAGGAATAATGATTTGGGAAAAGGAACATCTGACTCACCCGTAGCCAGCTTGTCAGGAGCTCATTAACCAGCTCTCCGCCCTGTGTGTGTCCTTTTTGCTGAGAGGCTGGGAACAGGGAAGACGGAGCTGGAGGAGGAGAAATGAGTCCCATGGAT
Organism: Homo sapiens; assembly: GCF_000001405.40. NCBI lineage: Eukaryota > Metazoa > Chordata > Mammalia > Primates > Hominidae > Homo > Homo sapiens. Next base: position 57,064 of record NW_025791807.1, read on the forward strand.
TCAGGCTTGTCTGACACCCACAGATCTGCCCCTGATTGACCACACCCACCTCCCACACCCACACGGATGAGGCACCACACAGTGCCCACCTACGCTCCATGCAAACACCTACCCACAGCTCTCCTAAGATACCCAAACACAGCCCTGTCTCACCAACCAAAGACAATAGGGCTCAAGGTCTGACTGCACTTGGGGAAGGGATTATTCCCACTTCACAGATGAGGAAACAAGTTCCAAGGGCGTCACTGTGTTTTTATCAGATTCACAGAAAGAACTAAAGGGAGAATTCAAAAGCTCCAGCACATTCACCACACAGGTGACATCCACAGACACCCAAATGCCTAAGTCCCAAATCCCGAGAGCTGCCCGATCAGACACGGAGGACCTCTGGGCCCCTGGGGCTCCACTCCTGCCTCACCTGCTCTGCCCAACCCCGCTCGTGTCCCATGCTGTGGGTCAGAACCTTTCAAGGCTGGACTCTGAGAAATGTCAGGACCCCACGACTCACCAGCAGTCGAGGGCAGGATGACAGCCGCCATCCTGTGACTCCGACAGCAACAGGGCAGCCGGGAAGCAGGACGCTCCTCCTTTATCCCGCAGCGCTCTGGAAGAAACGGGAATGCTCCAAGTCTCCGTGGCCTCCTCCCTCTCGGGCTGCTGGGGATGGGCCCTCCTCAACCCATCCTTCCCATCCTTCTTCAAATGCAAGTTCCGGCTTCCACACTGGGCCTTTATTTTGCTGAGCAGGCAATGAATTCAGGGCCACCTGATGGAAAACTTGCCTTCCTCTGTCCCCAACACAACGACCAGTACCTCCCTGACCCACCCGCTTTGAGAACCTCGGCTTCACGCAGTCTCACGGCATGTTCTTCCCATCCAAGCGCACCACAAACGCATTCCCGGCTACTCCCTCCTTCCCCGGGGACTCCGGCGCCTCCATAACTCCTCCCACCTCCAGTCCCAGCTCCTGGAGGATGTCAGAGACCCCCAGAGTCTCAGGAGTTCCTCAGCTCCAGGGCCCTTTGTTCCTTCTCTCATCAGCCACATGTTTCCACAGGTCCCCTCAGCCTTGGTCATCACCGGGCACTGTCCCACCACCCAGAACAACGTTCAGAAACTCCCCTCTCTCTGAACCCAACCTCCCTCCTCAACTTCCACGGCGTTCACTCCTTTTTTCTCTCACCGCATGTCCTCCGACCACACGCAGGCCTCAGTCACCTCCTCCTGCCTCGGTCACCCCCCTCCTGCCTCAGTCAACCCCTCTCCTGCCTCGGTCACCCCCATCCTGCCTCAGTCAGCCCCCCTCCTGCCTCGGTCACCCCCCTCCTGCCTCGGTCACCCCCCTCCTGCCTTGGTCACCCCCCTCCTGCCTGTGCTCTGCCTCAGTTACCCCCTCTCCTGCCCATGTTCTGCCTGTTACCCCAACTCCTGCCCTTGGTCACCCTGCTCCTGCCTGTGCTCGGCCTCAGTCACCCCCCTCCTGCCTCAGTCAGCCCCTCTCCTACCTATGCTCTGCCTTGGTCACCCCCTCTCCTGCCTCAGCCACCCCCTCTCTTGATTTCATCCTCACCCAGCTTGGATGTCACTGTCCCTCATTTCAGCTGATTTCCTCCTCCCTACCCCCCACTGTCATGCCAGCCCAGCAGAACTCCAGCCAGGCGTGACTTCAATCATCCACCTGCTCCAGGGGACATTCGGGCAGACCACCCTGTGCAAAGGCTGTGACGTTGCCACTCTGGAATAACACGGTCACCAACGTGTAGAGAACCCTCAGCCTGCAGGGCGATCCCACAGGTCAGCATGGCTTCCCACTCGTCAAACCTCCTCTCCTCTCTTTAAACTTCACACCTCCTCCCCTGTCCCCTCTGTGGTAACTGCTTCCTAACGAGCCCTTGACGATCCCAGCCTCCCGGTGCTCACACCCTGTGTAGGCCCGACGCACACACGGAATTAGAGCTGACCTGTGTGACCAGCAGAATATGGCTGAGGAGACAGCGGGGGTGGGTGCAGGGGTGACTTTCAGGACCAGGTCTTGGAAGGCACTACAGCTGCTTCCGCCTTGGTCTCCTGGATGTTGCTCTAGAGGACACCAGTTGCCATGGTGGGAAGACGCTCAAGTGGCCCTGTGGAGAGGCCTATGTGGAGAGGAACTGAGGCCTCCCACCGACGGCCAGCTCTGACTCGCAGGCCATGGAGTGGCCCCCGGTACCCGTTGAGCCTTCAGATGATGCAGACCCAGCTGACAGCCTTCTGCAAGTTTCCAGCCAGAGCCTTCCAGCCAAGCTGCTCCTGAATTCCTGAAACACAAAAACAGTGAGAGACGATACATGGTCATTGTTTCAAGTGACTAAGGTTTGAGATCATTTGTTAGGCAGCAAGAGATGACAAATCATCTCATTTTCAGCAGACAATCCCGATCCTGCTTCTCAGGGTAAAGATCATGAGGAGGAATCTACTTTCCTGTGTTGCTGCCAGCACTGCAACCTGTGCCCCACCCTTCTGCCTCCTCCCATCGCAGACAAGGAGCTGCCTGCCTTCTCCGCAGGGCTTGCTGGGCAGTTCTGGCCTGGGGTCCACCCTCCTGCTTTTGAGGAGCTGTCTGTGCTCGAAGCTCTCTCCTCCGCCCTTTCCCTTCTAGCTCTCCCGTGCTGCTAGACCCTTCCTCATGCCCCTCAAGCCTGATGTGGCATCTTCTGTAGTGCGATGAGCCCATCCTTGGGGTACAGCTTTCTTTCCGGTTACTGCCCCGTCTGTATCCCCCATCCCAGCCACAGCTCTTCACTCTGTCCCCTTTCCTGAGTCCTCACACGGTGCAATCTGGCTTCCCTACTATCATCCCAAGGACAATACCCTTGATGGAATCGACAATGACCTTACTCACCAGGGAGACGTGGATTGCAGCAACTCTGGCGCTATTTCCTATCTGGCAGGTCAACAGAGACACAGTGGCCCACACTCTTCATTCTCACACACTGCTGGGGGTAACCCCTAGGGAAGGAAACGTGCTGATGTCAAGCAAACCTGCAAAAAACATTTGTTCTTTCCTAGAACCCACTTCTAGAAATCTATCTCAAAGGTACACAAATACTGAAAGACACGTGTAAGATGATTCGCTGTGGCACTTCATATAATCGCAGAGGATTGAAAACACCACAAGTGACCATCAGTAGGGGATTGGGTGAATAAACTATGTGATAGCTTTAAGGTTGGTGCAAAAGTGATTGCGGTTTTTGCCATTACTTTCGATGGCAAAACCTGCAATTACTTTTGCAGCAACTTAATAAATAACAAAGAAACATGTAGCCAGGAAAAAAAAACCCCAAACCAAAACCAAAACAAAGAACCCCTGAAAAGATTTCTAGGTATTCAGAGAGATTATCTCCAATAAATTTAAGTGAAAAAAAAATCAAGGTACAAAGCAATGTCATGTGTCCTTTTTATAAGACGAGAAAGCCTCCTTTCTCCAGATTTATAGAATAAAACGTAACTCCATAAAGCCAGCTTCTGGAGGTTTCCATGTGTGACCTCCATGACATGAACCCAAAAGATAAAAGGAGTGAAGGGTGTGAATGGGCAGGGATGGGGGCACTGGACATTCAGGGTGAGTTCGGGTTCCGTCAAAAAATCAAGTTGGAGGGAGTCTTTGGCTCTTGGGCCTCTGTGGTAGACAGATGATTAACTTCCTGCTCTCCCAAGAAAGGGGTCTGTGTTCTAATCCCCAGAACCTCTGGATCTACTCCCTTACATGGCAAAAGGGATTCTGCAGCTGTGAGGAAGGCAAGGATCCTGACATGGGGGATGATGCTGGGTGGGCCCACTGTGATTACAGGGGTCCTTATAAAAGGGAAACAGGAGGGTCAGTTCAAAGAAGGATGGGATGAGATGAGAGAAGAAGGGAGCGTGTGTGTAGCAGGGAGGAGATAACATACAGAGAGACTGGAAGATGCTGCCCTGCTGGTGTTGATGATGGAGGAACAAGCCACAGTCAGGGAAGGCTGGTGGCCTCTACAAGATGAAAAACGCAGGAAATGGGTTCTCCCCTAGAGCCTCTAGAGCAGTGGTCCCCAACCTTTCTGGTACCAGGGACTGGTTTCGTGGAAGACAATTTTTCCATGGAGCACGGGGCGGCAGTGGGGCTGGGCAGGGAATGGTTTCAGGATGATGTTTTATAAGCACATTACATTTATTCTGCACTTTATTTCTATTATATTACACAGTAATATATAATGAAATAATTATACGACTCACCATAATATAGAGTCAGTGGGAGCCCTGAGCTTGTTTTCCTGCAACTAGATGGTCCCATCTGGGGGTGATGGGAGACAGCAACAGATCATCAGGAATTAGATTCTCCTAAGGAGTGTGCAATCCAGATCCCTCACATGCAAAGTTCACAATAGGGTTTGGGCTCCTATGAGAATCGAATGCTGCCACTGATCGGCCAGGAGGTGGAGCTCAGGTGGTAATGCGAGCAATGAGGAGTGGCTGTAAATACAGATGAAGCTTCGCTCACCTGCCACTCACATCTTGCTGTGCAGCCCTGTTTATAAGCACTGGTCCGTGGCCCAGGGGCTGGGGACTCCTGCTCTAGAGGGAATGCAGGCCTTCCAGCTTATTGAGGATTTCTGACCTCCAGCAAGGCAAGAGGATAAATGTGTGTTGTTTTAAGTCCCTGAATTTGTGGTAGTTTGTTATAGCATCAATAGGAAACTAACATGCCTTTCACATCACACCTTCCCTTTGGGTGAGTTCAGCAGACCCAGGCAACTGCTGCAGAACTTCCCTACCCTCTACAGGGGGAAGTATCTCCTTTTTCCCCGTAACAGACCTAATGTGCAGGTAGGCACACAGTAGTTCCAGTCACTGAGCTGGGGAGTGAGGGGGGGTTGGCCTCCAGCCAGCTCACTGGGCCTCCAAGAAAAAAACAAGTAGAGAAGGTACCTGGGACATTTTCAGGCCCCAAGTCCCTATTCAAGGCTGTCTGGAAGCAGAAATTTCCCACTAGGACAGGAGGGGTCTCTTCAGTTTACAGATCCTGTGACACCTGCCCTGCCCTGGATACAGTGCTGGAGGATGGTCACAGCAGATGGGCCACTCTATGTCAGCTGCCCAACACAACTTCTGGTGATGATGGAAATGTTCTATAATTCTGCTCTAATACTTGAAATGTGACTAGTATGGCTGAGAAAATAAATTTTATTTTTTTTGGGAGCAATCATCTGATTCCTAAACTACCTCCAAACACCCCCTCTTTTGCCTCTTAAATGTCTTCCTTCTGAATCCTGAAGTCCTTGTTATCTGCATGCTTACACTACATGCAAATTGCATCACCCTCTGGCCCACAACTCTTTAGTGTCTTCCCACTGGCCTGAGAACAGAGTCTGAAGTGAGGCCTAGTATGGTTCTGCCTCCCTCTTGATCTTGGTCTTGGTCACACTTCTTTCCCTATTCTTTTTTTTTTTTTTTTTTTTTTTTGAGGAGTCTCACTCTTACACCCAGGCTGAATGCAGTGGTGCAATCTCTGCTCACTGCAACCTCAGCCTCCCAGGTTCAAGCAATTCTCTTGTCTCAGCCTCCCGAGCAGCTGGGACTACAGGTGTGCACCACCACACCCAGCTAATTTTCGTATTTTTAGTAGAGACGGGGTTTCACCATGTTGGCCAGGCTGGTCTTGAACTTCTGACATCAGGTGATCAGCCCACCTTGGTCTCCTAAAGTGCTGGGATTACAGGTGTGAGCCACTGCGCCCAGCTTCTTTCCCTGTTCTTGTCTCGGCTTCAGCCATCCCTGTGTTCCCAGTGCAGGGAGCGTGGCAGCCTCTCTCCTGCTGCAGGGCCTTTCCTTACACAGCTTCTTCGACGGCAGTGCTCTCTTGGACATAACCCTGTCCCCTCACTCTAGTCGAGCCCTATGACTAGCTACATCTGACCCCAACTTGGAGATGGAGCAGCAATTCCCTTTTTCAGGGGCCTGTGAACCCCAAGTGGGAAAATAAAGGAAAATCCTGAAGTTCCTTTAAGGGAAATTCCGAGCATCCAGCTAGCCCCAAAAGTAAATATGGAACTTGTTAAACAGGAAGGTAATAGTAACCTAAAACAACAGCCAAAGAAGTTAAGGCTCCAGAGATGTTCGCTTTCCCCATGGAAACTAAAGATAACATCTTAACATGCGTCCCTGAGTTGCCTTTCAGAGGCTGGGACTCCCACTGAGGACCCCACCAAATGGAGCTGCTGGCTCAGAGACCCCAGATAAGCGGGACATGAAGGCTGAGCTTCAGCGTTCTTTGTGCTAAGTTTCTTCTTGAGGGGCTTGGAGAAAGTCACTTCTCCCAGCCAGTTAACATTTTCCTACTGACTCTAAATTTTTAAACAAAGCTTCTTTTCTTTAACCAATTACAAATCAGAAAAATCTTTGAATCTACCTATGACAAGCTCCTGCTTCAAGACATCCTTGCCCTTTTAAGTCTAAACCAGTGTGTAACCTCCATGTATTGCTTTATGATTTTGCCTGTAGCTTCTGCTTTTCTGTAACTTACCATTGCCTTCAGAAATCCTTGCCTAGCCGGGCACGGTGGCTCATGTCTGTAATCCCAGCACTTTGGGAGGCCTAGGCAGGCGGATCACCTGAGGTCAGGAGTTTGAGGCCAACCTGGCTAACATGGTGAAACTCTGTCTCTACTCAAAATACAAAAAATTTGCCAGGTGTGGTGGTATGTGCCTGTAATCCTAGGGACTGGGGAGGCTGAGGCAGGAAAATCACTTGAACCTGGGAGGCAGACGTTGCAGTGAGCTGAGATCGTGCCATTGCACTCCAGCCTGGGTGACCAAGTGAGATTCTGTCTCATTAAAAAAAAAAAAAAGGCCGGGTGTGGTGGCTCATGCCTGTATCATCTCAGCACTTTGGGAGGCTGAGGCGGGTGGATCACGAAGTCAGGAGATTAAGACCAGCCGGGCCAACATGGTGAAACCCCGTCTCTACTGAAAATACAAAAATTAACCGGGCATGGTGGTAGGCGCCTGTAATCCCAGCTACTCAGGAGGCTGCGGCAGAACTGCTTGAACCCGGGAGGCCGGGGGTTGCAGTGAGCTGAGATTGCAACACAGTACTCCAGCCTGGGTAACAGAGTGAGACTCCATCTCAAAAAAAAAAAAATTCCTTGCCTAAAAGCCACTGGGGAGGCCAGGATTTGAACATTTAATGTCTGGTCCTCCTTGCTTAGTGCTGTGCAATAAAAGCCTTTCTATCTATCGTAGCAACCCTCAATATAGACATCTGGTTTCACTGCACCACCAGGTGAGCAGACCCCAGTTTGGTTCTGTAACAACTTAAGCTCTCAAGCTAAATATCCTTCCCAAGAAAGCTTCCCTGTTCCCTCTGATCAAGTTCACTAGTGCCAAGCTCCCACATCACTCCTGTCATTCATGGTTTAAAATTTATCTTCCCTGTTAGAAGGTAAACTTTATGTAGGACAGGGGCCATTTCAGGTCCTCCAGGGTCCCTGTGCATCTGACCTAGGACCTGACTCATGGAGGCGACCTGGTTTGCCAAGGATTGTCCCGGTTTGAACACTGGATGCCCTGTGCCCTAGCAAACCCCTTGGTCCTGAAAAAATGAGGATGGTTGGTCACCATTAACTGTGCACTCAAATAATATCTATTGCATGATAAGTAAACATTCCTTCAAGAATGCTGTAGGAAAGCTAGAATGGAAAAGGTGAACACACACACAATTAGTAGAAACCCCACAATTTAATACTAGATTACTTAACATGATTCTCTGCAATATGAATCACCATACTGTTATTTCAGAGAAGTTTTAAGAAACAAAGTTAATTCCTATTAGGAGGTGATATCGTTGGCTCTGTGTCCCCCCACCCAAATCTCATCTCGAGTTGTAATAATCCCTATGTGTCAGAGGAGGGTCCTGGTAGGAGGTGACTGAATCATGGGGGCGGACTTCCCCCTTGCTGTTCTCCTGATAGTAAGTTCCCACAAGATCTGATGGTTTAGAAGTTTGGCGTTTATGTCTTCTCTCTCTCTCCTGCTGCCATGTAAGACGTGCCTTGCTTTCCCTTTGCTTTCTGCCATGATCGTAAGTTTCCTGAGGCCTCCCCCGCCATGCAGAACTGAGTCAATTAAACTTCTTTCCTTTGTAAGTCACTCAGTCTCAGGGAGTTATTTATAGCAGTGTGAAAACTCTCAGGTAGTTCTTTATAGCAGTGTGAAAAAGGACTAATACAGGAGGCAAGGTGCAGAGGACAATCTTTTTGGAAACCAGTTCCCTACCCTTCAATCTATAAGTTGTTGCTTAATATTCTTCCAAATGTTTTCAAATCTCATTAGGAAAAAAAAAATCCCATTACTCAAAACACATCTGGTCGCCGGTCAATTTAATTTTAAATTTGTTACTAATAAATCATCCTTTTTACAAATGCCCTTATATTTTGAAGTTTGGTGGAGGGCCAATATGCCTTTAGAAATCAAATCAACAGCTGGGTGCGGTGGCTCTTGCCTGTAATCCCAGCACTTTGGGAGGCTGAGGTGGGCGGACCACTTGAGGTCAGGAGTTAAAGACCAGCCTGGCCAACATGGCAAAAACCTGTCTCTACTAAAAATACAAACAAAATTAGCTGGGCGTGGTGGCACTTGCCTGTAGTCCCAGCTACTCAGGAAACTGAGGCAGGAGATTTGCTTGAGTCTGGGAGGTGGAGGTTGACATGAGCCAAGATCGCGCCACTGCACTCCAACCTGGCCAACAGAGTGAGACTTGGTCTCAAGAAAAAAAAAAAAAGTCAAATCAAACAGGCCTGAAAAATGTTGCTAAGTAGTCCTGCTAGTTGTTAGTGGGAAGACTTGTAACACTACATATACATGTAAATATTTTCTATACTTATATAAAATTCAGAAACTTTTAGCATTACGGCATACCAGAAAATCTGTCTTTAGCTACAGTTACACATCTTTACGTTATTTGTATGTTTGTTTTGTGGATACTTATTTGCATGTAACTGTATTTACTTATTTACACACATGTAACCATAAACACCTCTGTCTTTTTACCTTGAACTTTCCTTAAGATACCTTCACTCTTAGTGACTTCAATGTGGTTACAACCCCAGCACAGGAAAAGCCCACGAGGAGTTCTTCTACACAGCAGAGCCTGCTGAAACCTTGTTGTAGGTTCCACACTGTACTCACCTGGTCACCCAAAAACCCACAACAACAGGTGGACCTTGTGGCAGGCTTCAACACGAATCTGAGCTTGAATGATGCTTTTCTCATCTGAAAAAAAAAAAAAGACACAAAGATTTCTTTCGAGGCTTTGTATAGGTTGTACAGTTGTTGGATACGGCTGCCGGAAACACCATCCCATTCACTTTTTTTGGGTACTCAATGATTAAATGTGTAATAAGGGCCCAGCCTGTGGGCCATGACTGGCTTTACCTGATTCCCATCTGGCCATCTGCTCCGTAAGAGGGGAGAAAGCAGCTTAACGCTGTGTGCATTTGACTTGCTCAACTTACTACGCTGGAGAGAGATTCTATGGTGACTCCACAGGCTTTAAAAATATCTTGTCACTTAGAGGCCCTATTAAGTGACTAAACTGAATTTTTAACAATTTATGTAGTTTATTCAGAACTGCAGAGATTTTTTTTTTAAGGCCCTAGAGCAGGGTTTCCCAACCTGGCACTACTGATAATTCTTTGTTGTGGGGGACTGTCCTGTACAACGTAGGATCTTTAAGAGCAAGCAGCGTCCCTCTTCCCCGGCCTCCACCCTCTAGGTGACAGTAGCAGCCTCCCCTCCCCACAATTTGTGAAAACCACAGTCGTCTCCAGCTACAGCCAAAAGTCCCCTGGGGTGCGGAATCGCCCCGGGTGAGGGCGACTGGGGTTCCCTGAGGAGGCAACAGCGGCGCGGGGCCCCGACCCAGGAGCAAGCAGCAGCTTCGTGCTGACCTAAGCTCACAGCCCGAGGCCTCATGAACCGAAACACGGCTCCCTGGAGGGACGCAGGGCCCGTGGCTGGCGGTGTCCGCGGCCCACGTCGCCCCCTGGACTCGGACCCGAGCCCCCGCCAGTCGCTCACCGAGCCCGGCCCCTCCCGCGGGGCCAAAAGCGCCGACTCGCGGGGACGGAGGGACTCGCTCCCCGCTGCCCCACGCGCGGCCCCTCCCACGGTACCGCCCCGCGCTTCCGCTTCCGGTCTGGGGAGAGGTGCGCTGCACGTCCCCTTCCGGCTCGCGCGGGCAGCCTCGCAGAGTCGAGCGTGTTGGGGGTTCGGCGCTTAGGCGACAGGCGCGGCGGGCGGGAGCGGCGGCCGCGAACCCCAGCCTTGGGCAGAGGTGTTCTAGTTTGCTTAGTGGGCACAAAGTTGGGCCCTGGCCTGGGGCAGTAGCGGGGGTAAGGTTGGCCCTGGGGGCGGGGCCAGGCTGTGAGCCGCACGAGGCCTGGGGGCGGGGCTGGTTGTGGGCGGAGATCAGTTCCGGGGCGGGGCTGAAGGCGGGGAACCGGCTGAGGCCGTACCAGGCCTGGAGGGCGAGGCTGATTGGGCAGAGACCAGTTCCAGGGTCGGGGCTGTGGGTGGGGCCCAGTTCTCGGGGCGGATGGTATAAGGCTTCTAGAGCGGGGATGACTGAGCAGAGACCAGTTACAGGGGTGGAGACCTCCATTTCCGGGGCGGGGCTGAGCGGGAACCAGGCTGTGGTTGTGACAGCCCTGGAGGTTGGGGCTGGCTGTGGGCGGAGATAAGCTCCGGGCCGGGCGGAGGGCGGGGACTAGGCTGTGGGTGTACCGGTCTTGGAGGGCAGTGGTGATTGGCAGAGAGCAGTTCTAGGGGCGGAGCTATGGGGTGGCAGCAAGCCTGGGGGCGGGGCTGACTGTGGGCGGAGACCAGTTCTGGGGGCGGGACTGTGGGCTGCACCAGGCCTGGGGAGGGGGCAGTGGGTGGAGACCAGTTCCAGGGGCAGGGATCTGGGTATGAATAAAAGGGTGTATGATGTGGGTGGGTTGGGATAGGCCCAGGAGCCAGGATTGTGGGAGATCAGATTCAGGGGTAGGGCCTTCCTTGGATCCCTAGATTGTTGATACAGTTACTGCCCCATGTTCATACAACCCAATAGGATCAGATTATGTATGCACATTTGTCTATAACTTGCTTTCCCAAGGCAGAACATAGTGATTTAACACTAAGAGTTTAGGGGAGCAGGAGAGGACTGGGTCATAGATACACATATAGGAAAACTTAAGAATGGTACAAAGTCAGTCAAATATTCTCCCACCACGGTCTTTCAGTTCTTTTGCTCAGAGGCAAAAATAATTTTCTCCTCTATCTTTCCAGATATAGTGTGGACATGTATGTGTGTGTATGTGTGTATGCCGTAGTCATATTCATGGAATAAATGCTATTACCTCCCCCCCAACAAGTCTCTGTTTTATACACCATGGATATAGACTGAACAAAATAGGTAAACGTCCTTGCCCTCAGAGAACGTGCATTTTAGTTGTGAGTTGGGCAGGAGAAATGGACAGTGAATGTGATAAATAGAATACATGGTGGGTTGGTGCGTTAGATACCACTAAGTGCTGGTTGGACCTGGTGGCTTACGCTTGTAATCCCAACACTTTGGGAGGCCGAGGCAGGCAGATCACCTGAGGTCAGGAGTTCGAGACCAGCCTGCCAACATGGTGAAACCCCGTCTCTACTAAAAATACAAAATTAGCCGGGCGTGGTGGCGGATGCCTTGTAATCCCAGGTACTTGGGAGGCTGAGGCAGGAGAATAGCTTGAACTCGGGAGGTGGAGGTTGAAGTGAGCCGAGATTGCAGCCGGTGCACTCCAGCCCGGGTGACGAGCAAGACTCCATCTCAAAAAACAAAACAAAACAAAAACCAAAAACCATAAACAAAAAAAGATACTGGTAAGTGCAAAGGGAAAAAATTTTATGTAAGAGAGTGGTAACATTTAAAATCAGCCAGGAAGAAATACTTTCAATGAATGATATTGTTTCATGCACCCGTCCTTTCAGAAAAAAATAGTTAGATCTCTGCTTCCCAAAAATATCCATTTTCAGGTGGCTGAAGGAAGTTTAAGCAAAAATGAACAAGTTCAAAATTCAATATACTAGGAAAGTTCACTGTGGAAAGACTGTTCTCTTCAACAAATTGTGCTGGGACAACTAGATGCCAATATACAAAAGAATGAAATTGGGCTGGGCGTGGTGGCTCACGCCTGTAACCCCAGCACTTTGGGAGGCTGAGGCAGGCAGATCACGAGGTCAAGATATCGAGACCATCCTGGCTAACATGGTGAAACCCCGTCTCTACTAAAAATACCAAAATTAGCTGGGCGTGGTGGCGGGCGCCTATAGTCCCAGCTACTCGGGAGACTGAGGCAGAAGAATCGTTTGAACCCAGGAGGTGGAGATTGCAGTGAGCCGAGATCACCCCACTGCACTCCAGCCTGAGAACAGAGCGAGACTCCATCAAAAAAAAAAAACAAACCAAAACCAAAAAAAAACAAAAAAAAAACCAACCAACCAAGAAACAAACAAAAAACAGAGAATGAAATTGGACCTCTACTTCACACCATGTACAAAAGTGAGCTCAAAATAGATCATAGACCTAAAGGTAAGAGCTAAAACTATAAACTTCTTGGAAGAAAACATAGGTGTCAAACTTTGTGATCTTGGGTTAGGCAATTGTTTCTTAGATATGACATCAAAAACAGGTGGCGAAAGAAAAAATATATAAATTGGACTTAACATTAAAAAACATTGATGCTTCAAAGGACACCATCAAGAAAAAAGACAAACATGGACTGGGTGAAGACATTTACAAATGATTTATCTGATACATGACTTGTATTCAAAATATATAAAGGCTTGCGACTCAGCAATAAAAAGATACCCAATTAAAAGTGAACAAAGAGTTTTTTTTTTTTTTTCTTTTTGAGGTGGAGTCTCCTTCTGTCACCTAGGCTGGAGTGCTGTGGCACCATTTTGGCTCACTGCATCCTCTGCCTCCTGGATTCAAGCGATTCTCCTGCCTCAGCCTCCCAAGTAGCTGGGACCACAGGCGTTCACCACCACGCCTGGCTAATTTTTGTATTTTTAGCAGAGAGAGGGTTTTGCCATGTTGGCCAGGCTGGTCTTGAACTCCTGACCTCAAGTGATCTGCCCACCTTGGCCTCCCTAAGTGCTGGGATTACAGGTGTGAGCCACTGCACCCAGCCTGAAAAATGAACAAAGAGTTCGAATCGTCATTTCTACAAAGAAGATACACAAATGGCAAATATATACATGAAAAGATGCTCGGCCCCATTAATCATTAGGGAAGTTAATATCAAAACTTCAATAAAATACTACTTCACACCCATTGGGATAATTAAAATTAAAAAGATAGCCAATAACAAAGATTGGCAAAGACAAGGAGAAATTGGAATTCTTATACATTGCTGTCAGGATTGTAAAATGGTGCACCCACTTTGCAAAATAGTTTGGCAGTTCCTCAAAAAGTCATAGAGTTGCCACGTGACCCAGCAATTTTATTTCCAGTATATGCCCAAGAGAAATGAAAACATGTGTTCACATGACAGCTTGTACATGAATGTTCATAGCAGCATTATACATAATAGCCCAAAATTTTGTATGTCCCAAATATCAGTCAACTGATGAATGGATAAATAAAATGTGGTATATCCACACAACGGATTATTATTCATCCATTAAACAGAATACATATTCCATGGATGAACCTTGAAAACATTACGGTAAGTAAAAGAAGCCACTCATAAAAAACCCACATTTTGTATAATTCAATTTAAATAAAATTTCCAGAATAAGAAAATCCAAAGAGACAATAGATTAGTGGCAAATGTTGGGGAAAAGGGAAATGAGGGGAAGTGGGTAATGGTATGGATTTCATTTTAGATGAAAATAAGATTAGATAGTGGTGACGATTGCGCAACTGTGTGAATGTACTAAAAACCATTTTACACAAAAGTGTAAAAACTGTACACTTTAAAAGGTTGAATATTATGGTAGCTCAATAAAGTTTTTATTTAAAAAATGTAGAATTATACACATAAATTCTTCAGTTAGGCATAATAAGAGAATAAAAGTGGAAAAATAAAATACTACATAAATATGAGTGCTTCTTCCTCAAAATAATAGAAGAAAAGTGGAAAAAGTAAAATACTACAAAAATGTGAGTTCTTCTCTTCTTCCTCTTCCTCCTCCTCCTTTCTTCCTTCTTCCTTACTCCTCCCCTTCCTCCTCCTCCTTGTCCTCCTCCTTCTTCTTTCTTCTTTCCTCCTCCTCCTTCTTCTCTTCCTTTTCCTCCTCCTCCCCCCCTCTCCTCCTCCTTCTTTCTTCTTTTTTCTTTTTTTTTGGAGACAGGATCTTGCTTTGTCACCCAGGCTGGAGTGCAGTGGTGCAAACATGGCTCATTGCAGCCTCGACCTCCTGGGCTCAAGTCATTCTCCCTCCTCAGCTTCCCGAGTAGCTGGGACTGCAGGCGTGCACCACCACGCCCAGCTAGTTTTTGTATTTTTTATAGAGACAGGGACTCGCCACACCACAGAGGCTAGTCTCGAACTCCTGAGCGCAAGCAATCCCTTTGCCTTGGCTGCCCAAAGTGCTGGGATTTTAGGCATGACCCCATCGTATCCAGCTTAAGTGTATCTTAATTTTCCACACCATCACATTATTAAATGGCAAAACAAACTGGGGATAAATAATTGTAAAAATCTATGACATGTGGGCTCATATCATTATTACATAAAGAATATTTTGGATAAATAAGCAAAAGATGAACAAGCCAGTAAAAACATCATCAAAGACAAAGGCTATGAACCACACACTCCTTTACAAATACATACAACTGCCCAATACTCTAATTAGCAAAGAGGCATAAATTAAAATAATGGCATTATGTTTGTGCCTCTCAAGTAATGCAAAACATTTTAAATGGCCAGTTTGTCAAGACATGAAGAAATGAATGACCTCGCCCTCTGCTAGCAGCATTGATAAGTACCAGTTTCTCAGCAGGTACTTGGTAACATATACCCAAAGCTGTACGAATGTGCATATTTATCAACCCAGCAATTTTACAGTGATCTAAATCAGAGAAATGTTTGAACCTTGTTAAAAAGGATTGATCATCTACCTCCTATTTAATATGACAGAAGATTAGTAACAATGGCAAAATAAGTACTGGTGTAGCCGTATGAAATGACATTCATGGGCCTTAAAACAACAATGTCAATGTACATTTAGTTATATTAAATTACAATCGGGATATATTGTTAGATGTGAGAAGCTGGCTGCAGAATGAAGTCGGCAGTGTGTATCCATGTTGTAACCCACAAAGTCTAGGAATATAAAATTCCAGGGCTCGACAACCACTTAATGCCTGGACCCTTTCTGCCTCGAATGGGGGTGGCTAGAAACTTCTCTGGCTGGAGGGCAGAAGGCAGAGTGCAAAGTTTTGCCTCAAGCCTTGTGACAGGGATAAAGACCCTCACCCTTCACACTGGCCTCATGGACAAGACAAGTTCTTGCTTTCCCACAGAGTACCTGAGATCTGAGGATACTTTATACTCTGATAGTCACTTCCGGCTACCTTAATTCTGCTAGAGTAAAAACAACTAGTAGCTTCCACCTAACCAGATGACGCATAAAATAATTGCTACTAAATATTTCATTCCATATTTTGGTTAGTAAGGAAGAGAAGGAGGTAAAGAAACTTGAAGTGAAACAACTGGAAGGGACCAAGATGGAGCAGGCAGAGTTCCTTATACACAGGAGACAGCAAGGCTGAAATTCTACCCAGAAGATCAGCAGCCCTGGCCAGGCACGGTGGCTCACGCCTGTAATCCCAGCACTTTGGGAGGCCGAGGCGGGCGGATCATGACATCAAGAGATTGAGACCATCCTGGATAACATGGTGAAACCCCGTCTCTACTAAAAATACAAAAAATAAGCTGGGCGTGGTGGTGCACACCTGTAGTCCCAGCTACTCAGGAGGCTGAGGCAGGAGAATCGCTTGAACCCAGGAGGCAGAGGTTGCAGTGAGCCGAGATCGCATCACTGCACTGCACTCCAGCCTGGACGACAGAGCAAGACTCCATCTCAAAAAAAAAAAAAAAAAAAAAAAAAAAAAAAGATCAGCAGCCCCACTATCACCTTCCTCCAGGGCAAGGCCACCTGTGGAAATGACAGATGTCAAATAATCCCCAAAGGAATTGCTAAGGATGGAGATGTCCCATGGAAACAAACTGCATATTGCCTAACCCTCTCCCGAGGACATGGATATATTGAGATAGTAAATGTTTTGAAGGCTATGCAACTCTGCAAACAACCAAGCATGCACAGAACACAGGCTGTCTGGTGATAACTCCTAGATAAGCACCAATATAGCACCTCAGCCACAGATGGCATGCCACACACAATGAATTCTAAAAGTCTATTTTAACCTGCGATGGCCAACATATTCTCATGTGTGCATGCAATCAATGTAAAAATTATTGAGACGTTTTAGGTGCGACTGGCTGGGGCTGGCATTGTTGGTGGTAAAATAATTTCCCAAGACAGTCGTAGGTAAAGAAAGACAGATTTATTAGAGAAGATATGAAGATAGGTTGCAAGGATGCAACAGGCAGCACAGAAGAGAAGGGGCCATTTGCAAAGAGGCAGAGGTTGGAGGGGATTTTATAGGGTCGTGCTGGAGGCGGCTATGTGCACGTGAGGTGTGCAGATAAGGTCGTGTTCCTGGGACTATGTGCAGACCGAGGTCTTTTGGAACAGAATGTCATGCCAGTGGGTTGTTTGCAGTTAGCCATCTCTCAGAACAATTGTTCTCCCCCAACCAGGGGCCCTTTCCTTGTTGTTGGTTACTTATCTTATTAGGACTCCACATGAGACCTTTTAAATGATTTTTGTTTTTTGTAATGAGTTCCAGAAATCCAGTTCGTACTTTCCACTGATGGCACATCTCAATTTGCGAGTTGAATGTTATCAGATGTACTTGCCCCGTATTTAGATTTTCTTTTTTTTCTTTTCTTTTCTTTTTTTTTTTTTTTTTGAGACAGAGTCTCGCACTGTCGCCCAGGCTGGAGTGCAGTGGCGCCATCTCGGCTCACTGCAAGCTCCGCCTCCCAGGTTCACGCCATTCTCCTGCCTCAGCCTCCTGAGTAGCTGGGATACAGGTGTGTGCCACCACACCCACCTGTATTAATATTATGGCTAATATTTTGTATTTTTAGTAGAGATGGGGTTTCACTGTGTTAGCTAGGATGGTCTCAATCTCCTGACCTCATGATCTGCCCGCCTCGGCCTCCCAAAGTGCTGGGATTACAGGTGTGAGCCACCGTGCCTGGCCATATTTAGATTTTCTAGGGTTCACAGCTGTAAAGTAAGATTCACATGTCCAGGTTGTTCCAAGCATACTTCAAAGCTTTCCACTTCAAGAGTCATGTCAGATGAATAATGAGAATTCCTTTGGGATCTAACAACAAAGGGGTCATTGTGGCCTTAGCAACAGAAGCAGCTGAGAACGGTGAAGGAAAACAGAAGTTTGGGGTGGCCTGAGGAGTTGCTGGAGGTGAGGAGATAGGAGACATAGATGTAGATGATCTTTTCTCAGTGGTTCATAGCTAAGGGGAAGGGATAGGCAGTAGTGGTGAAGGAGGGGGTCCCAGGAAGTTTAGGAGAGGAGTGTCTGTGTAGCTCGGAGAAACTTGAACATGTTTAAATGCCGAAGAAGGGATTCAGTAGAAAAACAGAAGTTAAAGATATGGGGGCATCTGTAATCCCAGCACTTTGGGAGGTTGAGGCGGGCAGATCATGAGGTCAGGAGTTCGAGGCCACTCTGGCCAACATGGCGAAACCCCATCGCTACTAAAAATACCAAAAAATTAGCTGGACATAGAGGTATGTGCCTGTAATCCCAGCTACTTGGGAGGCTGAGGCAAGATAATTGCTTGAACCCGGGCAGTGGAGGTTGCAGTGAGCCCAGATCATCCCACTGTACTCCAGTCTGGGCTATAGAGCGGGACTCCGTCTCAAAAAAAAAAAAAAAACAAAAACAGATGATACAAAGGTTACATTGCAATATTGGAAGCATAAAATTAACAAAAAGGAAGAAGGAATGAGGCTCAGATCACTCTTGGTGGATAAAGGAAACATATTTATGTATTTATGAGACAAGGTCTTGCTCTGTTGCCAAGGCTAGAGTACAGTGGCCTGATTGCCGCTCACTGCAACCTCGACCTCCTGGGCTCAAGCTATCCTCTTCACTCGGCCTCCCTCACTCAGCTGGGACCTCAGACATGTATCATCACCCCCAGCTAACTTTTTAATTTTTAGTAGAGATGGGGGTCCCCCTACGTTGCCCTGACTGGTCTCAAACTCCTGTGTTCAAGTGGCCCTCCCGCCTCAGCCTACCAAAGTGCTGGGATTAGATGTGTGAGCCACCATGCCTGGCAGGAAATCTCTTTAAATACAATTAAAGGAAATTTGGAAACATTCAATGCTTATCAGGGATATTTGCAGATTTGGCAACTAACGTCTTTGGGAACCATCAGGTAAGTTAAGGAGAATTAAATATCTATGAGGAAAAAAGAAAGCTGGAGAAAATTTTGCAACAGGTTTTGGGGAAAATCAAGGAGTAAACATGACAGTGCATACACAGAAAATAAAGTTTCTACGCATGATGGATTCTTCCCAGTTGATGGAGAATATTTTGTATTTATAGTGGCACTAAGACGTCATGTCACGTGATTCTTTTTTCAGCAGTGATCATATGACGGTGGTAGCCATGGCGTCACAGAGAACAGGGACCTTCCAAGTTTGAAGTTTTACAAGGCAGGTGTGATAAGTGGTAAGGAATTTTGGATTAATCTAAATGAATTTTTTTTTTTTTTTTTAGACAGGGTCTCATTCTGTTGCTCAGGCTGGAGTGCAATGATGTGATCTCTGCTCACTGCAACCTCCACCTCCTGGGTTCAAGTGATTCTCCCACCTCAGCCTTCCGAGTAGCTGGGACTACAGGTGTGCGCCACCACACCCAGCTAATTCTTTTTTTTTTTTTTTGGTAGAGATGGGGTTTCACCATGTTGGCCAGCCTGGTCTTGAACTCCTGGCCTCAAGTGATCCACCCACCTCGGCCTCCCAAAGTGCTGAGATTACAGGCGTGGAGCCACCGTGCCCGGCCTCTAAGGGAAATATTGAGGTCGCAGACCACAGAATCCAAGAGTGCTAGGAATCAGAGGAGAGAGAGGAAGGTGAAGATACGGAGGTCCGGAGTAATTCAAATACCCAAATCACAGATACTTGCTCCTCAAGGTATGTTCATCAAGAACAGGTATCTATGGTATGGGCATTTGAATTAAAAAACCTGGAAATCAGAAATTTATAGTGGGTGAATAAGTTTTCCGATTTATTTATTTATTTGTTTTGAGACAGTCTCGCTCTGTTGCCCAGACTGGAGTGCAGTGGTGCGATCTCGGCTCACTGCCACCTCCAGCTCCCGGGTTCAAGCTATTCTCCTGCCTCAGCCTCCCGAGTAGCTGGGATTACAGGTGCCCGCCACCATGCCTAGCTAATTTTTGTATTTTTTGTAGAGATGGGGTTTCGCCATGTTGGCCAGGCTGGTCTTGAACTCCTGACCTCAAGCGATTCGCCTGCCTTGGCCTCCCAAAGTGCTGGGATTACAGATGTAAGCCACTGTGCTGGGTCAGAATTATTTATTTTTGAGCATGGCTGTTTGGGTTGCTGAAAATGTCTGGGGTGTGGGATTAAGGCTCAAAGAGCAGAGCAGTTGATAATTTCATTATTGACTTACAAGCTGCAGGAACTGTGCAAACCAAGAGGTCAATGTGTTAAACAGATGAATAGTCAAGTAATGCATAAGAATGGCAGGATTTGGGCTGGGCACGGTCGCCCATGCCTGTAATCCCAGCACTTTGGGAGGTCGAGGGGGGGTGGATCACTTGAGTTCAGGAGTTCCAGACCAGCCTGGACAATATGGTGAAACCTCGTCTCTACAAAAACCACAAACAGCCAGGCATGGTGATGCACGCCTGTAGTCCCAGCTACGCGGGAGGTTCAGGTGGGTGGATCACTTGAGCCTGGGGAGGTAAAGGCTGCAGTGAGCTGTGATTGCACCACTGCACTCCAGCCTGAGTGACGGAGTGGGACAAAAAAAAAAAAAAAAGGCAAGATTTGAGATTTAGAAAAAGACTGTCATATTTGTCATGAGAGGGAGTATCAGGACTTGAGCATTTAAGAGTGACAAGGGCAGAAAGAGAATAAAATAGTACTCAAACAAGGAGGGGGTTTGCAGGATGATGAAGGAGATTTTGACCTTGAACTTTCTGTGCTTGACTCAAATCTGCCTGATGATGTCCCAGGAAGCAGGTCAGACCTATCCCCAGAGGGAGAGAGGAAGGATGAAAGTCCAGAACAGCTGAGATCCTTGTCCTGAGAAGGCAGGCTTCATTGATCAATTTGACCCCATTTCATGATTTATTTTAATAGTGTAAGAGGAAAAGAAGTGTGATGGCCAAGAGTTCACAGAGGAAGCAACGTGACTGTGTAAACCAATGCAAATCAAAGCCTGGCTTGAGCACCTCAATCCCTTTGAGAATGTCCAGTTACACATTCAAGAGGCCAGTAACGAGAATTACACCCCATCCTGGCAATGAGGTCAGATACCATCAATGGGAGGAGAGCTTGGAGAAGCCTCAGCAGGTCTGCTGGCAGAGGAGACTGCAGGGACTCCAGGCTTACAGCAGTGCAGGAGAACTTTCAAGCACTTTGGATCTTGCCAATACCTTGCAAAAACTTGTCCCTAGTTACACAGGTGGATCTCTGCTGGAGGATCTTGCCAGTGGTCTGGAGCACTCCTGCCCCATGCCCCACCTTGCCTGCTCTTCAGATGCGGTGGAGATAATTCCTGCAGAGGGAGTGGGTATCTCGCAGCTCCTCTGCAAACAATTTCTGGTTACTGAGGAAGATATCAGGAAACAGGAAGGGAAAGTGAAGACAGTCAGAGAGAGACTCGCAATAGCACTGATTGCGGATGGACTCGCTAATGAGGCAGAGAAAGTGAGAGACCAAGAAGGCCGTCCTGAAAAACGCTAAGAAAAAAAGGGAAGATAGTGCAGATGAAATAAAGTGTAATCCTTTATTAACATCTCTTTGCAGTGTCCCCAATGAGGTTTTTTTGCTTTAAGCTCTTGAAACTTTAAAATATGCCAATACTTAAAAAAAAAAAAATTAGGCTGGGTGAGCACCTAAGAGCACCTAAGTAAGTAAGCTCAGAACAGGGTGCGGTGGCTCATGCCTGTAATCCTAGCACTTTGGGAGGCTGAGGCGGGTGATCACTTGTGGCCAGGAGTTCAAGACCAGCCTGGCCAACATGGTGAAACCCCATCTATATTAAAAATACAAAAATTAGCTGGGCATGGTGGCAGGCACCTATAATGCCAGCTACTCGGGAGGCTGAGGCAGGAGAATCGCTTGAACCCAGAGGCAGAGGCTGCAGTGAGCCGAGATTGCACCACTCCACTCCAGCCTGGGTGACAGATTGAGACTCTGTTTCAAAAACAAAACAAAACAAAACAAAAAATTACACTCCTTTGTGTGACACAAGGGAATAAAGACAATAATTTCTTTTTGAGGTGAGAGATTGGGTTTCAGGTGGGCAGGGAAAGGAGATTTTTTCTTTTTCATGTTATACTCTCATTTTTATTTACTATGTATGTATGTATGTAGTCCAGGCTGGAGTGCGGTGGTGCCATCATGACTCACTGCAGGCCAGGTGCGGTGCCTCATGCCTGTAATCCCAGCACTTTGGGAGGCCGAGGTGGGTGGATTGCTTGAGATCAGGAGTTCAAGACCAACCTGGCCAACATGGTGAAACCTGTCTCTACAAAAAATACAAAACTTAGCTGGGTGTGGTGATGTATACCTGTAGTCCCAGCTATTCGGGAGGCTGAGGCAGGGGAATCGCTTGAACCCAGGAGGCAGAGGTTGCAGTGAGCCGAGATCACCCCACTGCACTCCACCCTGGGCAACAGAGCAAGACTCCATCTCACAAAACAACAACAACAACAACAAAAACCAAAAAACAAAACAAACAAAAAACCCCAAAACAAACAAACCAAAAAACCCAAACAAACAAACAAAACCTCACTGCAGTCTTGAACTCTTGGACTCAGGTGATCCTCCTGCCTCAGCCTCCTGAGTAGCTGGGACTACAGGCACATGCCATTACATCTGGCTAATTTTTTCTATTTTTTGCAGAGACAAGGTCTCACTCTGTTGCCCAGGCTGGTTTCAAACTCCTAGACTTAAGCAAACCTCCCACCTCAGCCTCCCAAAATGCTGGGGTTACAGGTGTGGGCCACCATGCCTGGCCAGTATTCTATCATTTTTAACACATCAATCTCAGAAACTGGTAAATCCATCAAACAAAAGCAAATTAATGATAAAGAGGACTGGAATAATTCAATAAGCTTGATCAGGCAAGTAGACAAATAGACTTTAACTCGTATTCCCAACAAGCAGAACGATGGTGCATCGTTAGATTCTTAACACTGAAAAGTCTCTCTCTCTTTTCTTTTTTTGAGACAGGGGTCTTACTCTGTCTCCCAGGCTGGAGTACAGTGGTGCGATCTTGGCTCACTGCAACCTCTGCCTCCTGGGTTCAAGCGATTCTCATGCCTCAGCCTCCCAAGTGGCTGGGATTACAGGTGCCCACCACCACACCCAGCTAATTTTTGTATTTTTAGTAGAGATGAGATTTCATCATGTTGGTCAGGTTGGTCTCGAACTCTTGACCTCTAGTGATTGGCCCACCTCAGCCTCCCAAAGTGCTGGGATTACAGGCGTGAGCCACCACGCTCGGCCTGAAAAGTTTTTCTTGATATTATTATCCCTCAAATTGTGTCGACTTTCCTGATTCAAATTTCAAACACATATAGACTTAGAGAATCAGGGAAAGTCTGGTAGTTCATTAAATGCAACTCTGAATTAATGGGCAATCAAGAACAGAAAAATAACTAGAGTTAGATAGCTTATTTGAGAACGTAGATATAAAAAACTCTTTCCTTAAATATTATTTTGGAATCCACTGGGATATTTCACAAAAATAATAATCAATTCTGATTGGGTAGGCTTTATCCTGTGATGATGAGGACAAAGCACTGAATAATTTTATAATCTTGAGTACTGCCTACTGACTTTAAGATAAGTGAATTAAGTCAGACACAGATAGAAAATGATGCATTGACCTCACTTCTGTGTGGAATCTAAAAAAAGTCATATAGACTGGATGTAGGCTATTGGTATTTTTTTTCAAGCAAACAAAACATTAAAACACATTCTAAGGCTGCACGCAGTGGCTCACACCTGTAATCCCAGCACTTTGGGAGGCTAACGTGGGTAGGTCACCTGAGGTCAGGCATTCAAGACCAGTCTGGCCAACATGGCGAAACCCTGTCTCTACTAAAAATACAAAAATTAGCTGGGTATGGTGGCACCCACCTGTAATCTCAGCTACTCAGGAGGCTGAGGCAGGAGAATCGCTTGAACCTGGGAGGCGGTGGTTGCAGTGAGCTGAGATCGTGCCATTGCACTCCAGCCTGGGCAACAGAGTGAGACTCCATCTCAAAACACAAAAGAAAACAAAACCAAAAAAATCCCCACATTCTAGGACACACATGATTACCACGTGGAAGCACAGAGCAGAAAAGATGAAATTTTAAAATAACAAATTTTTAGGGAAGCTATAAATAATATAGATATTGCACTCTATTTTTTTTTTTTAGAGATGGGGTCTCACTGTGTTGCCCAGACTTGGAGTGCAGTGGTGCAATCATACTGCAGCCTCAACCTCCTGGGCTCAAGGGATCTTCCTGCCTCCGCCTCCCTAGTAGCTGGGACTATAGGTGTGTGCCACCACATCCAGCTATTTTTTTCTTTTAGTAGAGATGGGGGTCTCATTATGTTGCCAAGGCTGGTCTCTAACTCCTGGCCTCAAGCGATCCTCCTACCGTGGTCTCCCAACATGCTGGGATTACAGGTTTGAGCTACTGTGCCTGGCCCATAGAACCATTTCTGACCCGTTTATGTCTTCTTGGTCTACTTCCCATTGTAGAGGACCCGTGAGATGGATAATATGCCACCCAGGGAACACTAATCTGGAAATTCTGGTGCATTTGAGTTTCAGAGAATGAAATAGTGGAAGAGAAACTTGCAACTGCCAGGGTTTCTTGGGGGCAGGGATGTGGGAATATAAAGGAACAGGATGGGTGTGATGGCTGGTATAGGAGTCAAGGGTGGGTGTGTACTGAGTGACAAAGGTGGGAGACCTTACACTGAAGTGGAATGTTGATTTTCCACCATGGCAATTTCTTTTTTCTTTTTTTGAGATGGAGTCTTGCTCTGTCGCCCAGGCTGGAGTGCAATGGCGCGATCTTAGCTCACTGCAACCTCCACCTCTCAGATTCAAGTGATTCTCCTGCCTCAGCCTCCCGAGTAGCTGGGATTACAGGCACCCACCACTAAACCCAGCTAATTTTTTTGTATTTTTAGTGGAGTTGGGTTTCATTATGTTGGTCAGGCTGTTCTTGAACTCCTGACTTCAGGTGATCCACCTGTCTTGGTCTCCCAAAGTGCTGGGATTACAGGTGTGAGCCACCGTGCCCAGCCTCCATGATGGCAATTTCTGTATCAGTGAAACAGGAGGATTCCCTGAGCTCCCTTGCAGGACATGTGACAGGGGTGTGGCTCATCTGTTTGGCTGCTGGGTGCACTCAAACCCCTTATGGGACGGGGAGCACACAGACAGGCAGGTGCAGGAGCCGGGGCCAGTGTCCCTGGGCTCTGGCCCCATGGCAGCATCCACAGGTGGGAGACTGCAACTCCCAAAGCCCAAGTGGCTGTGTGTTACAGTGTGCTCCTTAGCCTTGCTGTCTGTGGATGGCTCAAGTGTTAACCAGCTCAGTGCCCTCTTGGTACCCAAGTCCTTGTCCAGCATCCAGGAAGAATCAGGTCACACATAGACTTGAAGGATGAATGCCAGGGTTTTGTTGAATGGGGGAGGTGGTTCTCAGTGGGATGGATGGGGAGCTAGAAGGGGGATGGAGTGGGAAGATGATCTTCCCCTGGAGTTTGGCTGTCCAGTGGCTAGTCTCCTCTCTGACTGTCCCCAGTTGAACTCCTTTCGGCATTCAGATGCTCCTTCTCTTCTCTCTGCTGTGTCGTTCTGCCATTCTTCTGCTTGTGGAGCCTGGGGTTTGAGGTTTATATGGGTATAGGATAGGGGAGCATGGTGGGCCAAAAGGTGACTTTGGGGCATGAAAACAGGATTGTCTGTTCCCATTTAGGGCCACAGGTCTCCAGGCTTGAGGGTGGGGCCTTTGCTGGGGAACCTCCCTCTTCTACCCAGTATTTCCCTGTCTCCTGTCCATATCATCAGTAATGTAGTTTGGATATGTGTCCCCACCAAATCTGATGTTGAATTGTAATCCCCAGTGTTGGAGGTGGAGCCTGGTAGGCGGTGCTTGGGTCATAGGGGCAGATCCTTCATGGTTTGATGCTGCCTTTGCAACAGGGAGTCTGTACTTGTGAGATCTGGTTAAGTGTGTGGCACCTTTGCTCCCCCCAACTCTCCCTTGCTCCTGCTCTGGCCATGTGACATGCTGGCCCTCTCTTGTGACATGCTGGCCCTCCCTTGGCCTTCACCATGATTGGAAGCTTCCTGAGACCTCTCCAGAAGCTGATCAGATGCTGACATCATGCTTCCTGTACAGCCTGCAGAACTGTGAGCCAATTAAACCTCTTTTCTTTAAAAATTACCCAGTCTCAGGTATTTCTTTTTTCTTTGTTTTTTTTTTTTTTTTTTTTTTTTTTTTTTTTGAGACAGGATCTCACTCTGTCATTCAGGGTGGAGTGCAGTGGTACAATCACAGTTCACTGCAGCCTCAACCTCCCAGGCTCAGGTGATACTCCCACCTCTGCCTCCTGGGTAGCTGGGACTACAGGCACGCACCACCATGCCTGGCTATTTTTAAAAATCTTTGTAGAGACAGCATTTTGCCATGTTTCCCAGGCTGGTCTCGAGCTCTTGGACTCAAGCAACCTGCCTGCCTAGGCCTCCCATAGTGCTAGGATTACAGGCGTGAGCCACCGAGCCTGGCCAGGTATTTTTTTTTTTTCTCTTGTTCTTTTTTTGAGACAGAGTCTCGCTCTGTCACTCAGGCTGGAGTGCAGTGGCGTGATCTTGGCTCACTGCAACCTCTGCTTCCTGGGTTCAAGTGATTCTCCTGTCTCAGCCTCCCAAGTAGCTGGCATTACAGGCGTGGACCACCATGCCTGGCTAATTATTGTATTTTTAGTAGAGACAGGGTTTCACCAAGTTGGCCAGGCTCCGGTCTTGAACTCCTGACCTCAAGTGATCCACCCGCCTGGGCCTCCCAAAGTGCTGGGATTATAGGTGTGAGCCACTGCGCCCGGCCAGGTATTTCTTTATCACAGTGCAAGAACAGCCTAATACAATCATTTTCACCAATTCTGGTGTTCCCAAGGGATGACATGGTGCGAAACCACAACACACAACTGAGAGTTGCCTTTGGGACTTCACGAAGGTGGAAGACTGTTCTCTTAGTCCAACATGAACCAGTCAGGGGTCACGTCAAGGAAGGCTCAGAGACTGTGTCCGACCAATATGGTTTATTTCTGCCCCAGCCAAGCTTCTTTGGACCCTGGCTGGGGGAAAGGCACCCCAGGCACCGGCAAGTTCCAGTCATTGCAGATCCTCCAGGTCTAGGTGTGACTGGTAGTAGCCTGGGCACTGTTGCTGGACGTTGTATTCTCCTTCCTTCTTCCGCCGGCGGGTGGTCACCTATGAGGGTGAGGAGGAGGCGTGAGAATGGACTGGTCAGCCGTCCAGGGAGAGGAGACCACAGGGGTGAGAATATGGCCAAAGCCAGAGGCCTTATGCTTCCTCTGTCTCCCTTCATTGTTTCATTTAATTTCTCCCTCAGTTCTTTTCCTCTTTTCACCACTTTCTTTTCTTCTGTCTCCTTGTTTCACTCTCGGTTTAAAAAAATTTTTCCCCCTCCGATATCCCCTTCATTTCTCTCTCCTTTTGCCTCTGAATTTCTTTATCAATATATCACATATCTACCAATGATCTATTTATCTATCATCTAGCTATCAATATTTATCAACCTGTCAATCAATTATCTACCAATCAATAACCATCAATTATCTCTCACCTCTCAATCATCTCCTATTTATAATCCATCAATCATCTATCAATCACCTGTCATCCATCAATCATGTATTTATCATCTACTTATCAATATCTATCAACTATCTGTTACCTATCAATTTATTATCTACCAATTATCTATCAAAATAATCTATTTATCATCTACCTATCAGCTATCCACCAATCATCTGTCAACTATCAATCATCTATCGCCTGTCTTCTGTCTAAATACCATTTCTCTCTCATCTCATTCTCAGTCTCTTTCTCTCTGGCTTTTGGTCCTGATCTCAGCCCCCTCTCTCCCTCCCTTCCTCCTCTACATCTGTCCAGCTTAACTGAGGCATAACTGACATAAAATAAACTGCACACATTTAAAGTGAATGTTTTGATAAGTTCTGATCATAACTTATTGAATCGTCACCACAATCAACATAAGGAACATCCATCCATCATCCCCAAAACTTTCGTCCTGGCCAGGCATGGTGGCTCACTCCTGTAATCCCAGCACTTTGGGAGGCCAAGGCGGGTGGATCACCTGAGGTCAGGAGTTCGAGACCAGCCTGGCCAACATGGTAAAACCCCGTCTCTACTAAAAATACAAAAATTAGCTGAGTGTGGTGGTGCGCATGTGTAATCCCAGCTACTTGGGAGGCTGGGGCAGGAAAAACGCTTGAACCCGAGAGGCAGAGGTTGCAATGAGCTGAGATCGTGCCATTGCACTCCAGCTTGGGCGATAGACTAAGACTCTGTCTCAAGAAAAAACAAAAAAAAAACAACAAAAAAACTTTCTTCCTGCTCTTTTACAATTCCTTTTTCCCTGCCACTGCAAACACATTTTCATTCCCAGGCAACCGCTGATCTGATTCCTGTCCTTACAGATTAGTTTGTATTTTCTAGAATTTGTCTATTAAGGGAATCATATGGCATGTACTCTTTTCTTCATCTGGATTCTTTCACTAGGCATAACTATTTTGCAATTTATACATGTTGCTGTATAATTTATTAATGTATTAATAATTCCTTTTTGTTGCTGAATAATATTCCATTGTCAGGATATATTTGTTAATGGACATTAGGGTTGTTTTCAGAGTTTGGCTATTACAAACAAAGCTGTTATGAACATTTACTTGTGTACAAGTCTTCATATAGACATATGTTTTTATTTCTCTTAGATAAATTACTAGTAGTGGGATGGTAGGGTCTTACGGTAGGTGTGTGTAATTTTCAAAGAAATGGCCAAGCTATTTTCCACTTTCACTTTATGAGAGTTCCAGTTCTGTCACATTTTCACCAACACTTGTTATAGTCAATCTTTTCAATTTTATCCATTCTTGTGAAAAGTGGCCTCTCATTGTGACTTCCGTGTACATTTCCCTAACGACTAATTTTGTTACATTTTTCCCTCTTACATTATTTTATTTACACTCTTTGCAATCACTTTTTCTCTCAATATCTTGTAATCAGCATATAGGTTGTGAAGTTTTTGAGATCTGCATAACATAGTAACTATAGTTAATAATAATGTAGATTTCAAAATTGCTAAGAGTATAGGTTGCCAATGTTCACACCACAAAGAAATAATAAGTATGAGAGGTGAGGGACATATTAATTAGCTTGATTGAGTCATTCCATAATTGTACATATACCAAAGCATCACATTGTATCCCCTAAATATATGCATTCATTATTTGTCAATTAATTAAAAATAAAATTATAAAAAGAAAATAGGAAAGCCACTCCGTGAACTGGGAGAAAATATTTGCAAAACATATATCCAGCAAAGGACTTGTGTATAGTATAGTATGGTTTTATAATATATTAAGAACTCTTACAACCCAATTGTTAAGAAGACAAGCAACCCTTCCTTGCTCACCAGGACACCGCAGATCAGGCATGTGATGACTCCCAGGAGTCCTGCCAAGCCGATGAGGATGACAGCCCAGAAGGGAAGGTCTGGGGAGACAAGGGCTGGGGTGAGCCACCTCCTGCCACGTCCCAGGGCTCCTTCTTGGACCCTATGTGGCCTGAGGATGGGCACAGCCCTGGGGAAGAGAGCTTAGTGGCTCAACACCTCATGCCTCTGATGCCCCCAAAAACTGGGCCCCCAGAAAGCCAGGATCCCTGCTATCCCTTTACTATGCCTCAATAGTCTTTGCCATGGGTTGGCAATTTTGATCCTCATCCAAGACTCTGTGTGCCTGGTGCTCTTGGACAAGGCAAAGCACCATCAGGCTACCCCCTCCCTACCCTGGGCTGGGGCTTCTTTGAGACTTACCAGAATTCCCAGTTAAGGGCTCATTTCTGTTGGGAGAATACCCTAGAAATGAAAGAAATGGAGGGTGCATGTGAGTGTGTCTTTTTTTTTTTTTTTTTCTGGAGATGGAGTCTTGCTCTGTTGCCCAGGCTAGAGTGCAGTGGCGTGATCTTGGCTCACTGCAACCTCTGCTTCCCGGGTTCAAGCAATTCTCCTGCTTCAGCCTCCCAAGTAGCTGAGATTACAGGTGCCCGCCAAAATGCCTGGCTAATTTTTGTATGTAGTGATGGAGTTTTACCATGTTGGCCAGGCTGGTCTTGAACTCCTGACCTCATGATCCACCCACCTCGGTCTCCCAAAGTGCTGGGATTACAGGCGTGAGCCACCGCGCCCGGCCAAGTGTGTCTTATTCTTTTAAATACAATTTTACAAGCGTACAAAAAAGCAGAGAGAAGAGTATAATAAATATGCATCACCTAGATTTAGTGGTTTATATTTCCTCCAACTAAAACATATACATCCAATTTATGATTTATTGACATTTCAGTGAAAGTAAATGTTTTCACTGAAGTTTTAGAGGCCAGTAGACACCATGACATCTCACCCCAAATATTTCAATTTGTATCTCTAAAAAAATGACACATGGCTACATAAGCCCAAAGCCATTATTCCACCACAAGAGTGTCATAAGTTAAATTCATGCCTCTGGGCATGGTGGACCTAAATTGGGCTGGGCCCAAGGGCAGTGGTGGAGAGAATGGATCATCGCAGTTGGAAACTGATGGGACCTCTCTAAGTTTTAAAATTTTCACCCAAAAGGTTTTTCTTCTGCCTAAAAACACATTTAAGCTCTCCTTCACTTGGTGGTTTTATCGTCATCTTTTAGAATTCACCTTCAATGTCATTTCCTCCAGGAAGCCTTCCCTGATGACCACACCCATGTATGAATAGGTTCACATCAAATAATTTATAATTGACAACTGCCTGTTCTTGTTATTCCTCACGACAGCATAAACTCCATGAAGACAGGGATGTAAAGCCATCATCAGGCATGGCGAGAAGGGTTACTGGTTCCTCTACTTCTACAACCCTGTTATAGCCAACTTTTTTTTTTTCTCAAGATAGAGTCTCACTCTGTCACCCAGGCTGGAGTGCAATGATGTGATCTCGTCTCACTGCAACCTCCGCCTCCTGGGTTCAAGTGATTCTCCTGCCTCAGCTTCCTGAGTAGCTGGGATTACAGGCGCACCACCATGCCTGGGTAATTTTTTGTATTTTTAGTAGAGGCAGGGTTTTACCATGTTGGCCAGGCTGGTTTTTAACTCCTGACCTCGTGATCCGCCTGCCTCGGCCTCCCAAAGTGCTGGGATTACAGGTGTGAGCCACTGCGCCCAGCCCATAGCCAGCTTCTTAAAGATGTAGAAGACATACCAATGGCTAACAAGCATATGAAAAAATGCTCGACATTACTAATAATCAGAGAAATACAGATTAAAACCATGATGAGATACCACCTTACGCCAGTCAGAATGGCTGTTACTAAAAAGACAAAAAATAACAGATGTTAAAAAGGATGCAAGAAAAGTGAACCGTTACACACTGTTGGTGGGAATGTAATTTAGTATAATCTCTATGAAAAACGTGGAGATTTCTCAAATAACTAAAAATGAAACTACCATTTGATCCAGGAATCCCACGACTGGGTATCTACACAAAGGAAAATAAATAATTTTGTCAAAAAGACACCTGAACCTGTGTGTTTATCACAAAACTATTCACAATAGCAAAGATATGGAATCAACCTAAGTGCCCATCAATGGAGGACTGTATAAAGAAAATGTGATCTCTCTCTCTCTCTACACACACACACACACACACACACACAATGCAATACCACCCAGGCATAAAAAAGAATGAAATCATGTCTTTTGCAGCAACATGGATGCAAGTGAAGGTCATTATCTTAAGTCAAACAACTCAGATACAGGAAGTCAAATAGCACATGTATTTGACTAAATAATGCATAGACATGTCAATGCTAAATAATGCATAGGCATGGACATAGAGAGTGGAATAATAGACAGTGGAAACTTGGAAGGGTTGGGGAGTGGAGGAGAGTGGATGATGAGAAATTACTCAATGGGTACAATGTACATTATTCAGGTAATAGATACCCTAAAAGCCCAGACTTCCCCACTGGGCTATAAATCCATGCAACAAAATTGTACTTGTGCCCCTTAAATATATACAAATAATAATTTTAAAAAGTAGTGTGCAATATGGAGCAGCCACAAGTGGCTTTTTAAATTAAAATTAAATAAAATTAAAACTTCGGTATCTCAGTTACATTAACCACACTTCAAGCTTAGTAATCACACATGGCTTTGTGCTGAATAGCACAGATAGAAACATTTTCTATCACTGCAGAAAGTTCTATTGGATGGTACTGATTCAAGGCAAGGTTTGGCAAACTACAGCGATGCTGGGTCCATGGCCTGTTTTTAGAAAGCTTGTGAGCTGACAACAATTTTAATTAAAAAAAAAATTGGGGCTGGGTGTGGTGGCTCACGCCTGTAATCCCAGCACTTTGGGAGGCCCAGGTGGGCAGATCACGAGGTCAGGAGATCGAGACCATCCTGGTCAACATGGTGAAACCCTGTTTCTACTAAAAATACAAAAAAAATTAGCCAGACATGGTGGCAGGCGCCTGTAGTCCCAGCTACTCAGGAGGCTGAGGCAGGAAAATGGCATGAACCCAGGAGGCGGAGCTTGCAGTGGGCGGAGATCGTGCCACTGCACTCCAGCCTGGGTGACAGAGCGAGACTCTGTCTCAAAAAAAAAGAAAAAATAAAAACAAATAAAAAACAAAAACAAAACAAAACAATAACAACAAACAAACAACAAACAAAATTGGTAAAACAAGAAAAAGAAAAACCTGTGACAGGCATGTGAAAGGCTTGTTGATTCTGAAGGATCAACAGTGCTCTCTTGCACAACAATAATTCGGAATCAAGGACAGTGCACACAGGCATTGGAAGGTCCCGTCTAAAACGTTATTCGCATTTGACTTGAAAAGAACCTTGTATGAAATCTAGTTATTCCTTCTGCAAATATGACTTGAGTGTTTATTATGTGCCAGGCAGAATATGGGGTTCTTGGAATATAGTGGTGAAAGAGCAAACAGTTACTCTCTGTTATATTCCTGATACATGGTACAATGTATATAACTATTCTTTGAATGGGTAAAATTGGATATGCAAAGTTGAGCCACCTTGAAGCCATCTCTGGAGTTGGAAAATAGGTCCATCCTACCACATTTGTTGAGGATGAATCACATACAACTTGAAACTGGAAGCCCTCATTGACCTGCTGAGGCAGGAGGATCACTTGTGGCCAGGAATTAGAGACCAGTCTGGGCAACATAGTGAGACCCTGTCTCTACAAAAAATTTAGAAATTAGCAAGGCGTGGTGACACGTGCCTGTAGTTCCAGGTACTCAGGAGGCTGAGGTGGGAGGATCGCTTGAGCCCAGGAGTTCAAGACTGCAGTGAGCTATGATTGCACCACTGTACTCCATTCTGGTTAACAGAGCGAGACCCTGCCTCTAAAAGAAAAAAACAAACACAAAAAACCAGAACCAGCTGCAGTGGTGCCTGCCTGCCTGTAATCCCAGCACTTTGGGAGGCTGAAGCAGGTGGCATGCTTGAGCTCAGGAGTTCAAGACCAGCCTGGGCAATGTTGCAAAACCCCATCTCTAGAAAAAATACAAAAATTATCCGGGTGTGGTGGCGCATGGCTGTAGTCCCAGTTACTTGGGAGGCTGAAGTGGGTGGATTGCTTGAGTCCAGGGGTTGAGGTTGCAGTGAGCTGAGATCATGTCACTGCACTCCAGCCTAGGTGACAGAGTGAGACCCTGTCTCAAAAACAAACAAACAACACAACAACAATAACTAATCAGGGTAATTGTTTAACACTGCAGCTGCCTGGGGGTGGAGGAGCAATACCATCTAGGGCAGGCAAGATGGGAACCAAAAACCAAGTGGCTTGCTAAGTACAGAGAGATAAGAAGTCCAGAAAGGAGATGTGACTAGCCTGAGGTCACAGAGCTGGCCAGAAGAGGGCAAATGCCTCCCATATCCCTCGGGCGTCCTTTTCTTTCCTTCAATGATGGGTAAAGCTTAGGAGAACTAAGCCACTTTCTCCCAGTCTGAGAAAGCTCGATGACGAATCAACCCCAAGCCTTCAGATTCCCAGGGAAGGACCCAGGTGAGGAAGTGGGAGCTTCCACCTCAGTCCCAATGACCCAGGGAGCTTTACCATCCACAAGGACACTGCTCCTGTCCAGGGTGAAGTTCTGCAGCTGGGTACCATTCCGGGTCATCCGCAGAAATTCCTCATAGATGGCAACTCTGTCTACTCTCCGAGCCAGTGGCGAGAAGTTACACAGGGAGTCCACCCCGGTGTGGTGCCTGTTGGGGACAGACCTGGAAGGGGACAGGGATAAGCAAAGATATCTGCAATTTTATCATGATTCTAGGCTTTCTCCTTCTAGGCTCTTCCTGCAGAAACTTTCTGCAATGATGTAAACATTCTATGTCGGCCGGGCACAGTGGCTCACGCCTGTAATCCCAGCACTTTGGGAGGCCCAGGCAGGCGGATCATGAGGTCAGATCGAGACCATCCATACAAATCACGAGGTCAGGAGATTGAGACCATCCATACAAATATTAGCTGGGTGTGGTGGCACGTGCCTGTAATCCCAGCTACTTGGGAGGCTGAGGCAGGAGAATCACTTGAATCGGGGAGTAGAGATTGCAGTGAGACGAGATCACGCCACTGCACTCTAGCCTGGTGACAGAGCGAGACTCCATCTCAAAAACAAAACAAAAAACAAAAAAAAAATTCTACATCTGCACTACACAATGCAGCCATTAGTAGCTTCATGTTGTTATTAAATGCTTAAAATGCAGCTAGCGTGGGAGAAGAACTGAATTTCTAATTTTATTCCACTTAATTCATTTAAAAATAGCCACAGGGAGGTCAGGCACAGTGGCTCATGCCTGTTATCCCAGCACTTTGGGAGGCCAAGGCGGGTGGATCACTTGAGATCAGGAGTTCGAGACCAGCCTGGCCAACACAGTGAAACCCCATCTCTACTAAAAACACAAAAATTAGCCGGTGTGGTGGTGCACATCCATAATCCCAGCTACTTGGGAGGCTGAGGCAGGAGAATCGCTTGAACCTGGGAAGCGGAGGTTGCAGTGAGCTGAGATTGCGCCACTGCACTCCAGCCTGGGCAACAGAGGGAGACTCCGTCTCAAATAAATAAATAAATAAATAAATAAATAAATAAATAAAGTAATAGCCACAGGGAGAACATTTCTGGAATGTTGGGGTAACAACTTCTGAATACCCATAAAATCAATGAGAACATTGGCCAAAATAGTCCAAATCAATTTTTCCAGAAGTCTAGAAGTGAACCAAAGGCTTGCAAAAATTCGAGGGGTGTTTAGTTAAGGAAAGTGTTAAATCTCAGTAAAAAGAGCAAGCTTTGTGGCATTTTAACTTGCATTATTTCCACAGTGCTCTTTCAAGATCCTCAGTATTTTATTATTATTATTATTTGTTTTTTTTTTTTTGAGACAGGCTTTGGCTCTGTTGCCCAGGCTAGAGTGCATGGCACAATGTCAGCTCACTGCAACCTCTGCCTCCTGGGCTCAAGCCATCCTCCCACCTCAGCCTCCTAAGTAACTGGGACTACAGCACATGCCACTATGCTCAGCTGATTTTTGTATTTTTTGTAGAGATGGGTTTTCACCATATTGCCCAGGCTGGTCTCAAACTCCTGAGCTCAAGCGATCTACCCACCTTGGCCTCCCAAAGGGCTGGGATTACAGTCGCAAGCCACTGCATCCAGCAAGATCCTCGGTAACTTTGAAAACTGGCAGCCTCAGAATCATGATATCTGTGAAAACCAGCTGCCTAGCAGTCAAAATAGCTGTAGAGTTCTCCAGACATCAATCTGCAGAACATAGTCACTATTTGATCTGTTTGGCAGCTCCTTGAAAAAGCCCTATTCTCAGGGCTTATCTTTATTTGTTCTGATTCAGAATTTGTTTAGTGAGGAAAGCCTGTTCTCAAGGCAGTTGTCAAAAAAAAAAAATCATTGGTACCCCCCACCATTGGAAATGATACCTCTCATTGAAAAGCACAGTTAGGCTGCTAGATTCTAAGTAATCTGGTTTTAGTCCCCTCCTTCCCCCGTCTTCCATGGGTCCTGATTTCAGTAGCTGATGTCTTAATGTAGTAGATTCTACACTCTAGACTCCATGGCCTCAGCACCAGGTACCTTTATGTCTGCTGAGATTTACACCAGCTCTCTTGAGTGTTGAAGCCAGTTGGGCTCCAGCTTTAGGAAAAAGCTAGTTTTTAGTTAACAGCTCTCTATTTCTAGGGCTCTCTTCCATCAAAGCTATGGCTTGGGGACACTTCTATTTAAAGGACAGCAGAAGTTCCTAGAGTCATTAGGTCCTGAGTTAGAACTTACCTGAATGTTGAAACTTGACAGTCAGAAAAATAACTCTTGATGCTGCTGTTTCGGAAGAGTTGGTTGAGCTGAAAGACAGGGCGATGTTTCTTAGGTCAGAATCCTGGCCCCAGTAGCATCAGAGAATTTTCAGCCACTGAGCACACTTCTCCGTCTATTTTGCTTCTTGTCATGACAACCACTTGCCCAGGTATGTATATCAAAGGACATGCTCTTCTAGGGTATGACTTAGCTGTGTGACCTTGGGTCAGCTACTGAACCTCTCTGTGCTTGTGTATTAAATGGGAATAAGAACCTGTCTTTGTGGATTGTTATAAAAAGTCACCCTGTGGCTACCCAGTATGCATAAGTCAGTTTCTGCATGGCAACAGAGTGGACATACCACCCCCTTCTCACCGCATCCTCAATATTCCTTTTGTTCCTCTGGTAATTGGTGGTGCCTGGCTGGGCTTTGTCCTGGGAATATGGTAGGTTGGTGATGGTGAAATTCAGGTAGAAGTGCTGGGTGCTGGAGCTGCTTGTTGGTTGATAAACTGATGACTCCATTTCTAGAATTAAAAAAAAAGTATGTAAAAATCCACTATCAAGGCAGGGTTTTAAGAAAGAGATGATTCCAGCTAGCTTACTTATTCCTGACAGTGTGAGCTGAGCTAGGCTTTTCTTTTTTTCTTTTCTTTTTTTTTTTTTTTTTTTTTGGCAGGGGGGTCATTTGTTTTGTTTTTTGAGACAGTTTCACTCTCTTTGCCCAGGCTGGAGTGTAATGGCGTGATCTTGGCTCACCACAACCTCCACCTCCTGGGTGCAAGCCATTCTCCTGCCTCAGCCTCCCGAGTAGCGGGATTACAGGCATGCGCCACCCTGCCTGGCTAACTTTTTTTTTTTTTTGTATTTTTAATAGAGACAGGGTTTCTCCATGTTGGTCAGACTGGTCTCGAACCCCCGACCTCAGGTGATCCACCCGCCTTGGCCTCCCAAAGTGCTGGGATTACAGGTGTGAGCCACCGCGCCTGGCTGAGCTAGGATTTTAAAGGTGGGATGGAGGGTTTTAGGTAACAGCTCTATATTGGATGGAGGATCTTCCTCCATCCATCTGTCCAGCTTGTATCCATCCACCCATCTACCTGTTCAATTCTCTTTCTACCAAGCATTGTAAGAATTCTCTACAACATGGGGGAAAAGAGACTGGGTTTCTCTGGGGGTGTAGTCAGCAATTGCAGGTGCTGAGAAACCCAGAGTCTTCTAACTAATGATCATTGTTCCTAAAGGGTCTTCTTGCCTTTGCTCTTCTCTCCCCCCACCCTCCATTCTGCACACAGCACCCAGAGGATGAGCAGAATTCATTTCATTTTCTTTCTAAAGCAGAACTCATGAGTGTGTCATGTTCCTCCCCAAGCCATTCCAGTGCCCAACAAAGTCTCTGCCCACATCTTTGGCTTCAACTGTCACCTCTCCAGTATCAAAGTGGATGCTCCAGCTACACCAATCTTCTTAAACTTGCCCCAAAATGCCACTTTTTTTTTTTTTGAAATGCAGTTTTGCTCTTTTTGCCCAGGCTTGAGTGCAATGGCACAATCTCGGCTCACTGCAACCTCCGCCTCCCGAGTTCAAGCAGTTCTCCTCTCTCAGCCTCCCAAGTGGCTGGGATTACAGGCACGCACCACCATGCCTGGCTAATTTTTGTATTTTTAGCAGAGATGGGGTTTCATCATATTGGTCAGGCTGGTCTTGAACTCCTGACCTCAGGTGATCCACCCATCTCAGCCTCTGAAAGTGCTGGGACTACAGGCGTGAGCCACCGCACCCGGCCAGATGCCATATTCTTTCTATCTTCTAGGTTATAGATGCATGGAGCACAATTCTCCATCTATTACCCCTGGCTAGGTCCCATTCTCTGTCAGATCTCAGCTTCTTCACCCCTTCCTACATAAAACTTTCCAAGACAAGGTTGTGTGTTCCTCCTTGGGGCTCCCACAGGCCCCTGAAATTCCCTTATCATAGCAATGATCACACTGTGTTATCAGTACGTGTTTACTTCCATTGTTTATTTATTTTTTATTTTTATTTATTTATTTATTTTTGAGACAGAGTCTCCATCTGTCGCCCAGGCTGGAGTGCAGTGGCGCGATCTCGGCTCACTGCAAGCTCTGCCTCCCGGGTTCACGCCATTCTCCTGCCTCAGCCTCCCGAGTAGCTGCGACTACAGGTGGCCACCACCATGCCTGGCTAATTTTTTTTGTATTTTTAGTAGAGACAGGGTTTCACCGTGTTAGCCAGGATGGTCTCAATCTCCTGACCTCGTGATCTGCCTGCCTGGGCCTCCCAAAGTACTGGTATTACAGGCGTGAGCCACCATGCCCGGCCTACTTCCATTGTTTATTGAATGAATGAATTATTCATTTACTGATTCATTCATTTAATTGATCATTTTAATTGATCAATTAATCAATTAAATCAATTCTCAATTACATCAATTAATCAATTATGTACTGAATCATTTATTATTCATTAATTAAATGAATGAATCAATAAATTGATTCAAAATAAATGATCTATTGATTCATTCATTCAACACAATTCTTTTTACATGTAAAAATAGCTATTCTCTTAGATGCAATGGCTGGTGTTCTGTTCCTGCCTCGTTGGATGATCTACTGCCAGAGGTCACCTACATGGGTCTCCAGAAAGCCTCCCTTTCCCTCTCTAGAGCCTCCACCAATTCCACTGGTACCGAGAAGCCCCATCTTTCCTCATAACCCCACCTCTTCCAGTTAGGAAACCAGCCACCCCACCTTGTACCTGTCACATGGATGTCCACCAACTGGTAGGTGGAGCCCAGCCAATGGAATGAGGCATTCAGGGTCTTATCTAGAAAGACTTGCTCCACCAGGCTGGGGTCCAAATTGGAGGAGAACAATGCCTTGACAGTGACCAACACGGAGTCCATCCTAGGGACAGAGACCACAGGAATTCAGCCAGTACTCAGCATCAGCAGGGTCATCGGTTGCTGTCTTTAAAGAGCAAAAGATCTAGAGGCACCCACCCTCAGTCTAGAGAAGGGTTCTGATCAAAATGGGAGGCCTTCGGCTGGATGCAGTGGCCCAAGCCTGTAATCTCAGCACTTTGGGAGGCCGAGGCAGGCAAATTGCCTGAGGTCAGGAGTTCGAGACCAGCCTGACCAACATGGCAAAACCCTGTCTCTAATAAAAATACAAAACTTCACCGGGTGTGGTGGCGCATGCCTGTAGTCCCTGCTACATGGGGGGCTGAGGCAGGAGAATTGCTTGAACCCAGGAGGCAGTTGTAGTGAGCCGAGATCATACCACTGCACTCCAGCCTGAGCAACAGAGCATGACTCCATCTCAAAAAAAAAAAAAAAAAAAATGCTTCCAGGAATTACGTCTAGAAGCAATAACAGTAACAATAATCGATATTTATTGAACACTTTTTATAGATCAAGACCACTAAGAAGTGACTTATGCATTCTTCATCATCACTCTGGTGGAAGGTATTGTTAAAATTATCCCAATTTCTCCCACATTTTCCCTCTTGATTTCTACTTTTTATTATTTTATTTTATTTTTTGAGATAGAGTCTCGCTCTGTCACCCAGGCTGGAGTACAGCCTCCTAGGCTCAGGCGATCCTCCCACCTCAGCTTCCTGAGTGGCTGGGACTACAGGTGTGTGCCACCATGCCTGGCTAATTTTTGTATTTTTTGTAGAGACTAGGACTCCCTATGTTGCCCTCGCTGGTCTTGAACTTCTGGGCTCAAGAGATCCACCTGCCCTGGCCTCCCAAAGTGCTGGGATTACAGGCATGAGCCACTGTGCCCAGCCTACTTTTGATTTTATTTGTTTTTAATTTTTTGGGGTACATAGTAGGTGTTTTTATATTTATGGGGTATATGAGATGTTTTGATACAAGCATGTAATGCATAATAATCATCAGGGTAAATGGGGTATCCATCCCCTCAAGCATATATCCTTTGTGTTGCAAACAATCCAAGCATACACCTTTAGTTATATTTTAAAATGTACAGTGAAGTTATTTTTGACTACAGTCACCCTGTTGTGCTAGCAAATACTAGGTCTTATTCATTCTTTGCATTTTTTTGTTCCAATTAACCTTCTCCATATTCCCAGCTGAAATACAAAAATCTTTGAAGTTTAGAAATATACAAAGTCAGCCCTGTGTCCTGTGACCCTCCTCTTCCCAAGTATAGGTATCTTCATTCCTTCATCCAGTCATCAGAGACCTGGGTTCAAATCCCAACTTTGACAGTTCTTGGGAAGTTCACTTTTCTGACCCTCAGTTTTCCCATCTGCACAATAGGGATGATTTTTGCACTCAACTCATAGATTCTGTTGTGAGAATTAAATGAGAGGAGGCTGGTTGATGTTAAATATTATTATTGGGCTAATATTTTGAGTTCTACATCAAAAAGTTATATTTTCCCAAGTGTCCAGAAAAAAAAGAAGGTGTATGCTGGGAGTTGGTGGCCCCATGAGGTTAATCCTCACTCCCTACCTTGAGGATTTATGGGAGGAGATGGTAGGATTAGCTAGACAGGGATGTAGGGGAGAATGGGTACCCCACTGGGGACGTCTAGCTCAAGGGTGCTCAGAGACACAGCCACAA
Organism: Homo sapiens; assembly: GCF_000001405.40. Taxonomy (NCBI): domain Eukaryota; kingdom Metazoa; phylum Chordata; class Mammalia; order Primates; family Hominidae; genus Homo; species Homo sapiens. Next base: position 97,783 of record NW_025791807.1, read on the forward strand.
GCTTGGTCACTGCTTATGACCTTCAGAACTTACGTCAAGTTGGTGACCAGGCAGAAGCGGAATGTGTCATGTAGTTGACTGCCTTTGTAGAGTGTGGTGACCTAGAAAGATGGGTAGGGAGAGTGGGTGAGATGGAGGCCTCTTGGGGGTGGAGGGGCCGCTGATGCCAGTGGAAAAAAACACAGGACTTGGAGCAAAGGGGACCAGAGTTCAAATCCTAACTCTGTTCCTAAAGCACTGTATGACCCTAGGCACACCACGCCCCTTTCTGAGCCTCAGTTTGCCCATCTGTGAAATGGGAATGGTAGTCAAGAGAGTACTTTTGGAAACTGAGAGAGAACCCAGAATACATAGTGAAGTGAAGCATTTAAAGTGATCACTTAACAGAGAAATCAGGTAGAAGAGGGAGAGAAGCACACAGGACAGAGAAGACGGGAGGGGTGAGAGATGCCCCACCTTGTCCTGGATGTCCCTCAGCAGGGTGATGTACTCTGAGGATGTGGGGTCTGGATTACTGAGGTTCCAGTTGACAATGTGGAAATTTATCTGGTACTCGCCCCGGATTGATAAATTCTGGGGTGCATAGCCTGGAGCCACAGAGAAGAAGAAAAGGCAACATATGGTGGGGAAATGTTGATCACAAAATGCAGAGCCAAAGTTGCCCAGCAGTCCCCTGCCTACTGTCAGAATCAATTTCAGGTCCACACGCTGGGCATTGCAGGAGCTCTTAGACAGAAAGTTGCCCCAAAGAGAGGGAAAAATGGAATATTACACAGATTCTTCTGAGCTGAGCTTTCCTGCATGTGCTATGCAGTTCCCACTTCTAGGAATGCATCCTTTTCATTTCCTGCAAAACTCCTGCTCACGCTTCAAGAGCCCAGTGAGAGGGAGCTCCAGGACAGCAGAGGCCCAAGTCTGTCTTATTCATTATTGTGTCCCGGCACAGGGCCGGGTATATAACACCCTCCTCCAGGAAGCCCTCCTTAATTTACTCCTCCTCTCAGCTCCCATAGTACCCTGTTAATAACAGCAGTGGGGTCTTTGTTGTGCCCGTAATTTGTTGTTAACTTGAGTATGAGTTTTTCAGAGACAGAAAAATGTGTCTTCTATCTCCAGACCCAGTACAAGGCTTGGGGCAGAACAGCCACCCATATATGTTTGCTGAATGAATGAATTAATGAATGTGAGTTACAGCAGAGACACAAATCTTTAATTTGCTCACTCATTCAATGATTCTTTCCATACTATGATGTGCTGATGTACTGCGAACCGAGGGTACAGTGGCACTCATAATAGACCGTAATTTTGTTGAGTTCACAGGGTAAGGGGGAATCAGATAATTTAACAAGTAATTACAGTAAAGTGTGATAAATGTCAGCCTTGTGCCCACCTAAGAACTTTGAGACCATGTACAACAGGATTTCTCACCCTTGAAATTATTGGCATTTGGGGCTGGATCATTCCCTGGGGTGGTTGTCTCCTGTGCACTGGAAAATGGGCTACCGACCCACTAGGTGCCAGTTGCACCCTCCTTCCCTCCCTGAGTTGTGATACCCAAAAATGATTTCGGATATTGCCTAGAGTCTCCCAGTTGGGGGGTGGGGTGGGGCAGAAGTGCAGAATTGTCCCCTGGTAATAACCACTGACACAGAGGATCCTTATATAGAAGGGACCTGCTATCCTGTCCCAAAGGATGCCACGACTCAGCCACTTGGGTTTTGAATTGAAATTCATTATGGATGTACCTGGGGGGGGTTCATTATGCTAAGTGAAATATACCAGATAGAGAGAAACAAATACTGCATGATCTCACTTATATGTGGGATCAGAAGTCAAACTTACAGAAGCAGAGAGTAGCATGATGGTTATCAGGGGCTGGGGGCATGGGGGTGGTGATAGAGAAAATGGGGAGATGTTGGTCACAAAATACAAACTTTTAGTTACAAGATGAATAAGTTCTGGGGATCGAGTATAAAGCTTGATGATTATAGTTAATAATACTGTATTGTAAACCTGAAATTTTCTATGAGGGTAGACCTTAAATGTTCTCTTTCTCTCTAACTCACACAGACGCACACAGACACACGGTAACTATGTGACATGAAAGCAGTGTTAACTAATTTGATCATGGTAATCATTTCATAAGCTACACATATATTAAATCACTGCATTATACATCTTAAATACATACAATTGTATTTGATAGTTATACCGCAACCAAGTTGGAAACAAAAGTGAAGGAGAAAGAGACAAACAATTTATGACATTAATTTGGTCAAAGAATTTCATGCTATTTACTCAAAATAATGGGAAAGACCCTCCCCTTGGTGGTTTGGGGAAGGGTGTCCCCCAGCCAGGCCTTGGGCTATTTTTTTTAGAGAGGAAAGGGCATACAACAGGGACAAATAATAGTCATGGTGGGCCGGGCATGGTGGCTCATGCCTGTAATCCTGGCACTTTGGGAGGCCAAGGCAGGTGGATCACCTGAGGTCAGGAGTTCGAGACCAGCCTGGGCAACATGGTGAAACCCCATCTCTACTAAAAATACAAAAATTAGCTGAGCGTGGTGGCATGCACCTGTAAATCCCAGCTACTTGGGAGGCTGAGGCAGGAGAATCACTGTTGCAGAGCCAAGATTGCACCATTGCACTCCAGCCTGGGTGATAGAGTGAGACTCCATCTCAAAAACAAAGAAACCAACTCCCCAAAAGTCACTGTAAATCCAAGTTCAGCCTGACACTCACCATTGATGAAGAGGCTATCCCTGTCCAGGACATAGAAGCCCAGTTGGGTGACACCATGGGTCAGCTGACTCAGCTCCCAGTAAAGCTGCTGTATGTCCAGCCCGGGGCCCACAGGGTCAGGGTGGTAGGTGCAGGTGGTGTCCACACCAGTGGCTGCCCCATCCTTCTCAGGCCTGGGGAGAGAGGCATTTGAGGACTCTAGAGAGGTCCCGAGACCTCTGCAGGTAAAGAGCAGTGGAGGGAGGAGCAGGGGAAAGCTGAGGAAGGGGTGGTCACAAAAGGGGTGGTTGTTACTGGCAAATGGCCAGGAAGTGGTCTCACCTGAGGGAGATCAGTTGGCAACCCAAGTAGAAGGGGCCCATGCTGCTCTTCTGGAACAAGGGTCTGAGCTTGAGAGGAAGGAGGAAGAGGGTAAGCCGAGGAACAGAGGTTGGGGGTAGGATTTATCCCACCAGGAGCTGCTGGGACCAGGGTCTCACCAGGTGCTGAAGGACCCCCTCGGTGGAGTTGAATGTAGCTGAGCCCTTGCCCATATCTGGTGAATACTGGAGATTGGAGATGGTGAAGTTGAGTGTGAGGGTCTTCAGGTGGTACCCCATGGCTGCAGGAGGGGAGGAGAGACGTCTGCAACTGAGGGCTGGTCTGAGACTAGATCAGACTGCGCTCATTATTAACTAGTGTGGCCATCCAAGTCAGAAGCTATGTGTCTTCTCCCCTCCAAGTAACACCAATTCTCTTTACTGAATATTCATCACATATATCCTCTCTCTCCTCCCCTATCCCAGTTCAGGTCTTATTTTCTCTCACCCTGATTAGCACCTGGCAGACTCACTGGATGCCCTGTCTAAAGGACATTCTCTATACTGAACACAAGAAGAATCTTTCTGAAATGACAATCTCACTATGGCTGCCCCTGCTCTAGTACCATCCACAGCTCCCTATGGCCTTCAGTGTTAAGTTCAAATTTCTTGACTTGGCATTCAAGGCCCTTCCCAATCTGGCTCCTGCTGACCTTTCAGTCTCACTTATCCATCCACTCTGGGTTAAGCTTTATGTTTCATGCAAACCAAATTTCTCTCACTTCTCCCTATACTCTATGCTGTTTCTGGCCACTGAGGCTTTGCTCACAGATTCCCCTCTTTCAGTTATACTATTCATGCCCTATTTGCCTGAATCACTCTTAGTCATCCTTAAAGACTCAGTTCAGGTGAAACTTTCTCCAGAAAGCCCTCCTCCTTCCCAACTATGCCAGGTATCTCACCCCAAAACATCTGACATTATGATGGTCTATTTATTTCATAAAATCTGGGACTCCACGAGGGCAGGTGTCTGATTGAAATGCTATTCTAATCTTCGAGGAGGAAAAATGGCCCCAAATACCTGTTGTGGCTTCTGACAGAGGAGGCAGGAATGTGGTGGCTGGCTTGGGAGCTGTGGAAGGAACAGTCCATCAGAGAGGACAAAAGCCCACCACCTAGTGGGAGAAGCTCCCCTGGGCTTCATCAGTGGTCCAAGCCAGGACAACCATTCACAGGTGGGCCATAAATGAGACTGAGGGAAGGAGTGATTGTGTGAGTGGAGGAGTGAGCAAGATGGATGGATGGATGGATGGATAAAAGGACAGGTGGAAGGAAGGACAAGCAGGTGAATGGGCAAGAGGATGAGTGGGTGGATGGGCAGATGGATGAATGGATGGAAGGACAGAAGGAAGGAAAGACAAGCAGATGAATAGGCAGGAGGATGGATGGAGAGATGGAGGGATGGTTGGAAGGACAGAAGGAAGGACAAACAGGTGAATGGGGAAAAGGATAGATGGATGGATGATGGATGGATGGATGGTTGGAAGGACAGAAAGAAGGACAAACAGGTGAATGGGGAGAAGGATAGATGGATGGATGGATGGGTGGATGGATGGATAAAAGGACAGATGGAAGGAAGGACAATTGAGTGAATGGGGAGGAGAATGGGGGGAGAGATGGCTGGCTGGATAGATGGATGGATGGAAAGACAGAAATAAGGAAACAGGTGAATGAAGAGGAGAATGAATGGAGAGATGGGTGGATGGTTGGAAGGACAGAAGGAAAGACAAACCAGTGAATAGGGAGAAGGATGGATGGATGGATGGTGGATGGATGGAGAGATGGATAAAAGACAGATAGAAGGAAGGACAAGCAGGTGAATGGGCAGGAAGATGGGTGGATGGATGGATGGAAGGACAGAAGGAAGGAGGGGCTAGCGAGTGAGTGGGCAGAAGGATGGGTGGGTGGTGGATGAGTGGATGGGTGGATGGATGGATGGATGGATGGATGGATGTATAGAAGGACAGAAGAAAGGAGGGACAAGCAGGTGAATGGGCAGGAGGATGGGTGATGGATGAATAGATGGATAAAAGGACAGATGGAAGGAAGGACGAGGAGGTAAATGGTCAGGAAAATGGGGTGGATGGATGGATGGGTAAATGGATGGACGGATGGATGGATGGAAGGACAGGTGGTGTCTGAGAGATGACTGGAAGGATAGAAAAATGGATGGCTGGAAAGATAGACGAGTGGATCACTGGATGAGGCAATGGGCAAATTTAGCCAAAACCAGTAGCCAGCAGAGTCTGCAGCTTGACCATGAAGCCTCTGCTGGGGCACTTGGAGGAGATTTTCTTATCAGGAGGTACAGACTAACAAGGTCATCATCTGACCTCAACCTCTATCCCTGTAGGGAATGCTTGTTCAAACTTCTTCCTCCAACCCAGAGGGACATGGAAAATTCACAAAGCCAAGACTATGGCTGCAGGTCTAAAAACAGGCCAAGGACTCAGCATTCTTCCTCCCACTGAGACAATGCCCCTCACCACCTCAGGGGACCAGCCCGAATTTGGGGCAACCTTCCTTCATGAATGAGGAGAAAAGCTTGAACCAAGACCCATGGAGATTGAAATGGGCACTAGATTCAAAGACACGTACTTGTAGGAGGCTCATCTGGACCAGGTTCATTGTAACCTTGAAACAAAGAAGTCACACGTAAGAGGAGGTGGTGGAACCGTCCCAGATACTCCATGCCTTTGTCCATATGGGGCCCCTGCCTGGATGCCTTTCCCTTTGTGTATCTAGAGATTATGGATACATTTATGTATCATCTAATATTTGACTTAAATGTGTTCACCACTAGAAAGAATTTCCTGATATTTCAATTAGCACTGACCCTTCCCTACTCACGTCTCCAGCATGCCTCCAATGAGAGGCTCTCACTACCTTTGTGTTCACAAGTCTATCCTCCTATCCATCCATAACCCCCGCCTCCCCTTCCAGGCCTCCTCCAATCTATTCCTCCACCCAATGAATGTTTATTAAGGGCTTAGTATGTGCAAGGCTCCCTTTACATTTGGGGAATATAGGGTAGAACAAAACAGTCTCCGCCCCCCTGGAGATTACATTAGGACAGGATGCACATGTAACCTATCTCTGTTCCTGGGGCGAGGCACATTGTGGCCTGGTTAATAGTAGCTGCTTGGTAAATCTAAATGAAGGAACAAAATGAAGCACATAAGCTGTGCAGTTTACAAGGGGGAACAGCTCCCTGCAATAGCCAAGTTGAAGGGACTGGATGTTAACTGAGATCATCAAGACCCAACCCGCACCTGTGTGTTTATCACAGCACTATTCACAATAGCAGAGATGTGGAATCAACCTATATGTCCATCAGCAGATGAATCCATAAAGAAAGTGTGGTATATATGCACAATGGAACACTATTCAGCCATAAAGAGAAATAAAACCATGCTGCTGAGGTTGCAGATAAAAAGGAGTGTTTATACACTGTTGGTGGGAGTGTAAATTAGTTCATCCACTGTAGAAAGCAGCAGGATGATTCCTCAAAGAGCTAAAAACAGAACTACCGTCTGACCCAGCAATCTCATCACTGCATATATGCCCAAAGGCATATAAATTTTTCTATCATAAAGACACCTGTTCACTGAAGCACTATTCACAATAGCAAAGACATGGAATCTACTTAAATGCCCATCAAGGATAGACTGGATAAAGAAAATGAGGAACATATACACCATGGAATACTATGCAGCTATAAAAAAGAATGAGATCATGTCCGTTGCAGGAACATGGTTGGAGCTGGAGGTCATTATCCTTACCAAACTAATGCAGGAACAGAAAACCAAATACTGCCTCTTCTCACTTATAAGTGGGAGCTAAATGATGAGAACACATGGACACATAGAGGGGAACAACACACACTGGGGCCTGCCTGAGGTTGGAGGGTGGCGGGTGGCGGGTGGAGGGTGGGAGGAGGGAGAGGATCAGAAAAAATAACTAATGGGTACTAGGCTTAATACTTGGGTGGTGATGAAATAATCTGTACAACAAACCCCTGTGACATGAGTTTAACCATATAGAAAATCTGCACGTGTATGTCTGAACTTAAAAGTTAGAAAAAAAGAATGAATCCATGTCTTTTGCAGCAACATGGATGAAACTGAAGTTACCTTAAGTGAAACAAGTCAGACACAGACAGACAAATATCACATGTTCTCAATCATAAGTGGGAGCTAAACAATGTGTAGACAAGAACTCAGAGAGGGGAATGATAGATAAAGGGGGCTTGGAAGGGTGAGGGGGTAGGAGCAAGGTGGATGATGAGAAAGGACTAAATGGATACAATGTATGTTATTGGAGTGGTGGATACTCTGAAAGCTCTGACTTCACTACTGTGCCATCTATGCATGTAACAAAATTGCACTTGTACCCCATAACTGTATACATACAACGATGATCATGAGGAGGATAGTAATAATAATAATAAAGAACATCAAGACCCAGACTAGCCAAAAACTCGCTGTGGGCATGGGCAAGTCCCTTCCCTTCTCTGTGCCTCAGTTTCCCTCTTTGCTAAAATAAGAGTAATGAAAGCCCAGGATGTCTCTCCACATCCCGGTACCTACCTAAAGGTACCTCATATAAGTGATATGGGGTGCCCACCTCATGGGGTCATGATGATAAGCACTGTTCTTGGGTTGGCGGTGGAGGGGATGAAAGGCGAGCTATTTTGTCAATTCTCCACGGTCATGCTTTGCCTCTCAGAACCCCATTTAGGGGATGCCTTCTTAAATGCTATCTTATCCTGAGTTCTAGACCAATGCTGAGGCCCAGTGTGCCTGAAGATTAGATCCCATAGATCTTCCTGGTATAGGGGGCCTCAGGTAGGAGAGAAGCCCATCCCTCGTCAATGGTGAGAAGAAAGCAGGGAGGGGAAATTGTTTTGTTTTGTTTTGAGACAGAGTCTTGCTCTGTCACCAGGCTGGAGTGCAATGGCACAATTTTGGCTCACTGCAACCTCTGCCTTCTGGGTTCAAGCGATTCTCCTGCCTCAGCCTCCCGAGTAGGTGGGACTACAGGCGTGCGCCACCACACCCAGCTAATTTTTGTATTTTTAGTAGAGACAGGGTTTCACTATGTTGTCCAGGGTGGTCTCAATCTCTTGACCTTGTGATCCGCCCGCCTTGGCCTCCCAAAGTGCTGGGATTACAGGTGTGAGCCACTGCTCACAGCCGGAAATGTGTTTTTTGTCCCCCAAGTGCCCCCACCAGGAAGACTCTTCTGTGAGTTAAACATGTGGAGTGGATCATAGCACCGAATGCTGACAAGTGGAGTTCATATCCTGGTTCCACCACTGTCAAGGTAAATTGCTTAGCCTGTCTAAGCCTCAGTTTCTTCATCTGTAAAATGGGATTAATCAAAGTCCAACCTTGCATTGTGGTTATGGGAGGGCCAGTGGTAATGCCAAGACTTGAACCCCAAGTCTTTCCCTAGAGAACCGGCAAACAGACACCCTCCTGGACTGCAGTGGGGGCTGGGGGGTGGGGCAGGGAGATGGGGCTGATAGCTGCTCACCGTTAAGGTAGAGGCTGTCTTTGTCCAGAGAGTAGGGGCCCAGCCGGGTGATGCCATGGGTCTGCTGGCTCAGCTCATGGAACACCTGCTTGATAGGCAGACCTGGGCCGCTGAGGGGCTGCAGGTAGGTGCAGAGGAGGTCCACCCGTGTCTCAGCACCGTTCTTCACAGACCTGAGGAGGGAGAGGTGCAGCTTTGGGGGATGAAGGCCACCTAGCACCTCTCCACTTGTGGTCACTGCACAACTCACAGTCCATATTTTGGTCTCATTGACAGTTTGCACTTTCTCCACCTGACCTTATCTATCATCTCAGGATCTTTGCAATTGCTGTTACTTTTGTCTGGAAGCTTCTCCCCATTTCTCCTTACCTGGATAACTTCCTGGTCATCCTCCAGGTCTCAGCTTAGAGGACTCCCTCCTCCTCCTCCTCCTCCTCTTCCTCCTCCTCTTCCTCCTCCTCTTCCTCCTCCTATCTTCCTAGGCAAGGTCAGGAGCCTCCTCTGGGTCCCACAATCCTCCACTCTTCCCCTGTCACTGCCCTGGTCACCCTCTATGTAATCATAAATTATTTGTTCCTGTTCCTACCAGAACATGGTCTCCACGAAGGAGGAAATGAACCAGTTTAGCTTACTCTTATTATATTGAAGCCCCAGAACCCAGCACCCCTTGACAACTCCCTGCAAAAATCAAAGTCCTAATGAATGGAGAAACACAATACAGCATTTACATACAAGTGGAAAAGGAAGGGAATTCTGACACATGCTACAACATGGATGAACTTTGAGGACATTATGCTTGGTGAAATAAGCCAGCCATACAGTATAAACCAGGACATATACCATATGATTCCTCCATTCATAGGAGGTCCTCAGAATCATCAGATTCACAGAGACAGAAAGTAGAATGGTGGGTGCCAGAGGCTTGAGGAGGGGGATGAGGAATGAGTGTTTCATGGGGATGGAGTTTCAGTTTGGGAAGATGAGAAAGTTCTGGAGATGGATGATAGTGGTGATGGTTGCACAATAATGTGAATGTGCTTGATGCCACTGAACGGGAAATATAGCTAAAATGATCAATTTAATGTGATGTGTATGTTACCACAATATAGAAAAAAAAAATCCAAGCCAGGTGCAGTGGCTCACACCTATAATCCCAGCACTTTGGGAGGCCGAGGCGGTCGGATCACCTGAGGTCGGGAGTTCGAGACCAGCCTGACCAACATGGAGAAGCCCCATTTCTACTAAAAATACAAAATTAGCCAGGTGTGGTGGCACATGCCTGTAACCCCAGCTACTCGGGAGGCTGAGGCAGAGGAATCGTTTGAACCCAGGAGGCGGAGGTTGTGGTGAGCCGAGATCATGCCTGGGCAACAAGAACAAAGCTGTCTTAAAAAAAAAAATCCAAGTCCTCCAAGGCCCTTCAAACTTGCTGATGTCTTGAGTCTCATCCTTTCTCTCTTTTCTTCTTGCTCTCTCTCTGCTCCAGCCACACTGGCCTCTTTGCTGTTCATAGAACATGCCAAGCTCATTTGCACCTCAAGACCTTTTCTCATGCTGTTCTCCCTGCCTGGAACAGTTTTCATGGCCATTTGGGACACAGCCCAAGATTCATCCTGGGTAAAGTTGCTCTACCCATCACTTGCTATTTATTTATGTTTCATATCACTTTACTCCATTTGAAGCCATTTTACTTAGATATTTATGTTCCTGTTTAGCATCTGTTCTTCTCCACTGGGTGAGGGCAGGGACAGCATCTGTCTTATCACTCTAGTACCCAGCACCTGCCTCAGAGGAGCGGTGCCATGGGCATCAGTTGACTAAAAATATAAATGGAGAAGTAAATAGTAAATACCAAGAGAGTGCAAACTGACCCAAAGAAGTCAAGTTGGCAAGGATGCAAGAAAAGGAACTCTTATACATGGTTGGTGGGAATGGTAGAGGAGTGGTGTTATGGGCATGGGTTGAGTAAAAATATAAATGGAGAAGTATCTAGTAAATACCATGAGAGTGCAAACCAACCCAGAAAACTCAAGTTGGCAAGGATGCACTGAAAGGAAACCTTTTTTTTTTTTTTTTTTTTTGAGATGGAGTCTCGCTCTGTCGCCTAGGTTGAAGTGTGCAGTGGTGCGATCTCAGCTCACTGCAAGCCCCGCCTTCAGGGTTCATGCCATTCTCCTGCCTCAGCCTCTCCAGTAGCTGGGACTACAGGCACCCGCCACCACGCCCGGCTAATTTTTTGCATTTTTAGTAGAGACGGGGTTTCACCATGTTAGCCAGGGTGGTCTCGATCTCCTGACCTCATGATCCACCCACCTGGGCCTCGCAAAGTGCTGGGATTACAGGCATAAGCCACCATGCCCGGCCTAGGAAACTCTTATACACTGTTGGTGGGAATGTAAATTAGTACAACCTCAAATGAAAAACAGTATGGAGATTTCTCAAAAAACAAAAAAAAAAAATCAGAACTACCATTTGACCCAGCAATCCCACTGTTGGGGATCTACCCAATGGAAAAGTATTAGAAATAAATAGTGGTGATGGCTGTATGACATTGTGAATATAATCAATGTCACTGAATTGTACATTTAAAAATGGTTAAAATGGCAGATTTTATGTTACATGTATTTTTGCCACAATATAAAAAAAATGTGATCTTAAATAGATGCAGAAAAGGACCCTCTGAGAATAGCTCAACCCATATATATCTAAAAGAAATGAGGCCATGTGTGGTGGTTCATGCCTGTAAAATCCCAGCACTTCAGGAGGCTGAGGCAGGTGGATCACTTGAGGCCAGGAATTTGAGACCAGCCTGGCCAACATGGCAAAACCCCGTCTCTACTAAAAATGCAAAAAAATTTAGCCTGGTGTGGTGTTGGGCGCCTGTAATCCTTGCTACCTGGGAGGCTGAGGCACGAGAATCGCTTGAACCCGGGAGGCACAGGTTGTGGTGAGTGAAGATTGCACCACTGCACTTCAGCCTGGGCAGCAAGAGCAAAACTCCCTGGGAGGTTGAGGCACGAGAATCGCTTGAACTCAGGAGGCAGAGTTTGCAGTGAGCCAAGATTGCACCACTGTACTCCAGCTTGAGCGACAGAGTCAGACTCTGTCTCAGAAAAAAAAAAAAGAGAAGAAAGAAAGAAATGAAACCAGTATCTTAAAGAGATATCTGCACTCCTATGTTCATTGCAGCACTATTCAAAATAGCCAAGATATGGAAACAAGCTAAATGACCTTCAATGGATGAATGGGTAAAGAAAATGTGGCATACACATATACAATGAAATATATAAGAAAGATGAAAATCCTGCCACTTGGGATAACATAGATGGAGCTGGAGGACATTAGGCTAAGTGAAATAAGCCAGGCACAGAAAGACAAATACCGCATAATCTAACTTATAGGTGGAATCTAAAATTGTCAGACTCATAGAAGCAGAGAGTAGGATGGTGGTTGCCAGGGGCTGGGAGGAGGAGCAAATGGGGTGATGCTGGTCAAAGGGTACAAACATGATAACTATGTAGAGATAATAGATATATTAATTAGCTGAAATGTGGCCATGATTTAACAATGTATACCAAAATATCAAGTTGTACACTTTAAATGCAAGCAATTTTTATATGTCAAAAATCAAACTGTCATGAATAAATAAAAAAGTTATTAATACCAGTCAGAATAACTATTACTAAAAAGACAAAAACCAACCAACCAACCAAACAAACAACAAACAACCAGATGCTGGCAAGAATAAAAGAAAAGGGAACTCTTATACACTGTTGGTGGGAATCCAAATTAGTACAATCTATGGAAAATGGTATGAGGATTTCTCAAAGAACAAAAATGTAGAACTACCATTTGACCCAGCAATCCCACTATTGGGGATCTACCCAATAAAAGAAATCGTTATATCAAAAAAAAAGAAAGAAAAAAAGAAATCATTATATAAAAAAGACACCTGCACGTGTATGTTTATTGCAGCACTATTCACAGCAAAGGTATGGACCCAACCTAAGTGTCCATCAGTAGAAGACTGGATAAAGAAAATGTGGTATATATATATACCACGAAATACTATTCAGCCATAAAAAGAGTGAAATCATGTATTTTGCAGCAACATGGATGGAATGGGAGTCCATTATCTTAAGTGAAACTCAGAAATAGTCAAATACCGCATGCTCTCACTTATAAGTGGGAGCCAATGGACTCCATGTCCATTAGCTCATGGTGGAATACCATACGTTCTCACTTATACGTGAGAGCATGGACCTGGAGTGTGGAATAATAGACACTGGATACTCAGAAAGGTGGGAGAGTGGGAGAAGGGTGGGGAACCTCACTTAATAAGTACAATGTACACTATTCGGGTGATACACCAGAAGCTACTGTCTGGAAGTCTACTGTCTGCAGACTTCACTATGGAATATATGCATGTAACAAAAACTGCATTTGCACTCCTTAAATTCATTTAAAAAAAAAGAATGGGGCCAGATATGGTGGCTCACGCCTGTAATCCCAGCACTTTGGGAGGCTGAGGAGGGTGGATCACCTGAAGTCAGGAGTTCAAGACCAGCCTGATCAACATGGAGACACCCCATCTCTACTAAAAATACAAAACAATTAGCCAGGCATGGTGGTGCCTGCCTGTAATCCCAGCTACTGGGGAGGCTGAGGCAGGATAATCACTTGAACCCGGGAGGCAGAGGTTGCAGTGAGCCAAGATCGTGCCATTGCACTCTAGCCTGGGCAACGAGAGCGAAACTTCATCTCAAAAAAAAAAAAAGGAAAGATAAAAAGATTTAAAAAAATATGTAGCCCACCCCAACCCAAGAGGGACCTCCCAGTCAGAACTCTAAGTTCTTGGTGGTGCGCTGTGGGTGGGGGAGTTTCTCACCTTAGTGCGATGACCCTGCAGCCTGTGTACCGTGCACCCAGGCTGCTCCTCTGGAACAAAGGACTGAGCTGCAGAGGGAGAAGGGAGCTTGGGTTGGTCAGAGGCAGGCAGGCAACAGCCCTAGGATGGGCATGGCAGGGCTGCAGCGGGAGGCAGGCCTCTCACCAGGTGCTGCATGACGTTGTCTGTGATGTTGAACTTGAGGGAGCCGGGTTGGCCCATGTCCGCCATGTAGCGCAGGTTGTTGATGGTGAAGTTCAGTGTGAATGGCTCCTCGCTGACCACCCCGGCTAGGGCAGGGGGAAGAGAGAGAGAGATGAAGCTCTTGGGGAGGATGATGGGTGGGTGGGGGGTGGTGTGGGACAGGGTGGGGGCAGTGTGTTCTAAGGACCCTGTGTCCGCCTCTTAATAAACCCAACGGTGACTTTTAATGGAGACAACTCCAGCAGCCAGTAAGGGTGTGCTTAATGATTTGGGATGTCCAGATGGGGTCCTTCTACCCAAATGCAGGAAGGGAAGATTCTGTAAAAAGTACCAATGGTTCTGATCTTTCCCAGGGTAAAGGCTGCATATTACCACACTGATGCGGAAGTCATGACTCTAGACATTTTTAAAAAATTTATTCTCTCTCTCTCTCTTCCTCTCTCCCCATCGATCCTTCTCTGCCTTTCTCCCATTTCTCTCTCTCTCCTGCACTCACAACCAGGTATGCTAATCTTCTATGCATTGGTTAACATGGCCAACAATCTTTGCAGCCATAACCAACCTCTCAGCACTTCAGTTTACTCATCTGTAAAATGAGATGACAATGGTTCACAATGATGTTTCCTGCCTCAACCGTTGTTATGAAGCTTAAACAAGTTAATCATTGTAAATCATGTAAGCACTGCTGGGCACACAGGTCAATATGGTGTACATGTTTATTATATAAAATATATCAGCAAATGCTTTCTAATCACTCCCTGTGTGTGGAACTTTATGAAAGTATGAGTTAAGGTTTTTTTTTTTGTTTTGGTTTGGTTTTGTTTTTTGTTTTTGTTTTTTTGTTTTGTTTTTGTTTGAGACAGAGTCTCACTTTGTCGCCCAGGCTAGAGTGCAGTGGTGTGATCTTGGCTCACTGCAAGCTCTGCCTCCCAGGTTTTATGCCATTCTCCTGCCTCAGCCTCCTGAGTAGCTGGGACCACAGGCATGCACCACCACACCTGACTAAATTTTTTTTGTATTTTTAGTAGAGACAGGGTTTCACCGTGTTAGCCAGGATGGTCTTGATCTCCTGACCTCATGATCCACCCGCCTCGGCCTCCCAAAGTGCTGGGATTACAGGCGTGAACCACAGTGTCCAGCCAAGCTAAGGTTTAAGACAAATCTCTAGAAGAAAAGTTTACTTCTCCTTCTCTCCCTGCCTTTCTTCTTTTCACCACTCTTGAACTTCCTTCTGTTCATTCTTCCTTCTCTCTTTCCATCCTTTCTTCTTCCCTTCCATCTTTCATTCTATTAATGCATCCTTTCTTTCTTGCTGGCTTCCTTCCTTTCATTGTACCTTCTAACATCTGTCTATCCTTCCTCTTCCTTCTCTCACTTCTTTCCTTCCTTTCACCCATCCATCCATTTATCCATCCATCCATCCATCCATCCATTCACTTATCCATCCATCTATCCATCCATCCACCTACCCACCCATCTGTCCATCCATCCATCCATCCACCTACCCATTTATCCATCCATCCATCTATCCACCCACCCATCTGTTCATCCATCTGTCCATCCATCCATTCATCCCTTCACCCACTCACCCACTGATCCATTCATCCATCCATCATCAATCTTTCCTTTCTTACACCTCTCTTTTCTTCCTTCCATCTACTTATCCATCTTTCCTCCTCCTTTTTTCTTTCATCCATTTTTTTCTTTCTTCAATCCACTCATCCATCCTCTCTCCCTTCCTCCTTCCATTTATCACTTCTTCTTTCCATCTGTCACTTCTTCCTTCCATCTATCCACCTTGCCTTCCTTCCATATATACAGTATTGGTCCTACACCGCTCCAGGAACATTGGAAGGGGAGCAGGGGGGCGGGGTACAGAAATACTCTGGCCCTTCCATAGCCCCGCCCACCATTGTCCCACCAATGCCTCCTATTGGCTGAACCTAACAGGAAGCTAGTTAGCATGGGAGCCTGGGAAATGTAGTTTTCATGAGTCAGACGTCTATCCCACAGAGCACGGGAAGGCTGGAGGAGGTTGGAGAATGGATCCGAGGACAAAAACAAAACAAAACAAAACAAAACAAAACAAAAACCCATATGTGGTATAATAGAGAAAGCCCATAAGAAGTCACATTCCTATAAAAGAGAAGCAGACAACAGAATATAAACAAATGAGTTCAAAAAAGTGGGAGAAGTATTGTGAAGGATTAACAGAAAAAAAAAACCCCAGGATCTCATTTGGAAGTAGGAGTGAGACAAATTCGTATAAGAAATTGACTTTTCCTTCACAGTCAGTAGAGTAAACAGACAACCCACAGAGTGGGAGAAAATCTTCACAATCTATATATCCAACAAAGGACTAATATCTAGAATCTACAACGAACTCAAACAAATTGGCAAGAAAAAAACAATCCCATCAAAAAGTGGGCTAAGGACATAAATAGACAGTTGTTGAAAGAATATATACAAATGGCTAATGAACATATGAAAAAAATGTTCAACATCACTAATGACCAGGGAAATCAAAACCATAAGGTGATACCACCTTACTTCTGCAAGAATTGCCACAATCAAAACATCAAAAAATAACAGATGTGTGACTCTGGGGGCCAAGATGGTCGACTATAAGCAGCAGCGCTCAGAGGCTCACATTGAAAAAAACTGTAATAAGTGTGTGATCCTTCCTGGCAACCAAAATGTCCAGGTTCCCTCATCAAAATTGACTAGAAGGCTGGCAGTGACCCACAGAGAGAAGGAAGAGCAGTGTGGTGTGGTGGCCCACCTGAGAGACACACGGGGAAGGGGAACCCCCTCCTTCCAGCCAAGGGAGGTGGTGAGTGAGCGGGCTACCCAAGAGGGGGAAACTGTGCTTTTTCCACGGAACTGTGCAACTCACAGATTGGAAGATCTCACTCGCGAACCCATGCCACTGGGACCTAGTGTCCCAACCCCAGAACACGCAGATTCTTACAGCTGGAATCTGCCTAAGCCTACGGAACTCCCCGGGGGAGGGGCGACCAGCACTGGCTGCGGCTGCCTGCTAAGTCTTTTTTGTTCCTTGGGGAAGGGGCGACAGCCAGCACTGGACTCACAACTGCCTAACACGCTAAGCTCCCTGGGCGGGGGAAGGGCGGCACCCCTTTCAATAGCTCCAGGCTGTACTTTTCCCCTGCTAGAGCCGGGTAGGCTGGACGGCTTGGTCCCAAGACTTGTCCCCACAGCCCAACACACCGGCTGTGGCAGTCTGCAGCCAGAGTGCCTCTTCAGGGCTAACCCTGACCCATCCTTCCTCAGTGGGCAGAGCTTCCTTGCAGGATCTCCAAAGACTCCAGCCAGAGGCTCAGAGACAGAATTTGGACTCCCTGGGCTTGGGCCCCTAGTGGGAGGGATGGCTGTAGTCTCTGTGGACCAGCAGACTTAGCCTCTCCTCTGGTAGTTCTGAGGAATCCAAGCAGCCCAGACATGTGGTTTCCCCCCAGTGAAGAACCCCCTCTCCACCAGGGGACAAAGTGCTTCATTAAATGGGTCCTGCTCTCCATGCCAGTCAACTGGGCGAAACCCTCCAACAATAGTTGTCAGACACCCTACACAGGAGCGATCCTACTGGCATCAGGTTGGTGTCCCTCGAGGTCAGAGGTCCCAGAAGAAGCAGGCACCTATGTTCGCTGCTCTCCAAGCCTCCTTGAGTGACACCTCCAGACATGGGAGCGAATCAGATGAATAGGGCCTGAAGTGAACCCCTAGCAAACTGCAGCAGCCCTACAGAAGAGGGACCTGACTATTGAAAGAAAAACAAGCAGAAAGTGACAATAACATCATCATCATCAACAACAACAACCAAAAGACCCCCATAAAAACCCCATCCAAGGATCAGCAGCCTCAAAGCCTGAAACTAAAACTCCTGAAGATGGGAAATAATCAACAAAAAAATGCTGAAAACCCAAAAGGCCAGAGTGCCTCTTTTCCTCCAAATGACCGCAACATCTCTCCATTAAGGGTGCAGAACTGGATGGAGGATCAGATGGATGAATTGACAGAAGTAGGCTTCAGAAGATGGGCAATAAAAAAGTACGATGAGCTAAAGGAGCATGTTCTAATGCAATGCAAAGCTAAGCACCTTGATGAAAGGTTAAAGGAATTGCTAACTAGAATAACCAGTTTAGAGAGGAACATAAACCAACCGATGGAGCTGAAAAACACAGCACAAAAACTTCGTGAAGCATACATAAGTATCAACAGCCAAATCGACCAAGTGGAAGAAAGGATATCAGCAATGACCAAGCTGAGCCTGAGCTGAGCCTTCTAGGAAAACCAAAGAGCCAACTACACATCATCAAGGAACCTAACTCTCTTGAATTCTGTCCCATAATCCTGAGTCAGCTCCAATTGAATTGGTAGCGACTGAATTTTTTTTTTTTGGTAACCATTCTGAAGCTGTTTTGAACTGAGAGAAAATGAATGCTATTATCAATTGGTGATGTCTGCCATGAATGCTGCAATCAATTAATGATGTCTGTCATGGATGAGGGAGTGGAGCAGATGCCATATAGTTTTCCAGTGTAAACTCTGGCAGACACTAAAGTTGAACCAAGGCAGAAGAGGAAAGTTTCCATACATTATAAGAAAGCATACTTCATTCCTTCCTTCCCTGGGAAAATCCATATTTTCCTGTAGATCTAAATCTGTCGATCTACCATGTACAAGGTCCTGAAGCAGATACTAGGGAAGCACAAGGGAGTAAGACACAGTTGCTCCAATCAGCAGGTTTATGCACTATTGGGGTGACTGGATATAAACACAATGTTCAAAGCAGAGAAACTGTGTTTGCAATTGACTTAAAAAATATGCAATAGGACTTAAAGTGAGTGACAAAATAAAAGGTTCCCATGATTCTTCTGCCTATAATAATTCAAGATTTTTTTTAGAAATCATATTAAATAGTACTAGTTAAACACTGAGCATAGCACTTTGGTGCATATTCAGTAGCCAATAAGTTCATATATTATCCATTAACTTTGTTATCACCACCACCATCATAATCATCACCATCCCTGTCACCATCACCATCATTATTGTCATAATCACCACCATCATTACCAACATCACCATCATCATCATTACCATCATCACCACCACCATCACCATTGTCATCATGGTCATAATCACCATCAACATCATCATCATTGCCACCATCAGTATCATCATAAAAATAGCTCTCTGAGAGGAGAGATTATTAATTGTTTCATGATCCATGCCATATCCCCAGGATTTGGCAGAGCCCCAGGGCTTGTCACAATGCTCAATAAAGTTTGTTGGTTGGCTCATCATCACTAGATTTATAAAGAATTTCCATCTTTATTTGACTGAATAATGGAAGAGATGTTTACACTCATCAGCCATGCTCTAACAGAGGTGCCATTGGCTGGTACTTATTCAAGGGACCAGTAGAAGGGGTGGATCCCCAGAGTTTCCCAGGTCCACTGTGGTAGTCCCAAGAGCTACAGAGAAACCCTCTTCAGGGGAAGCATCCAAGCCTCTCATGGCAGAAAGGTCAGCAAATAAAACTATTTACAGGCCTTGCTGCATATCGGGCCTGAGCTGGGTCTCTCTCTGGAGCTGGCCAGAAGGGAAAGGGAATAACTTGTGCCCTCCCAGCCCCTTCCTTTATGAAGAGGACATAGGGGCATAGGAAGACAGGACAGCTCCTGCCCTGCTTGGTGTATAATTGGGGCTACTGGAGCATCGGTTGAATACTCACTGCTGGTGGTGGGTACAGAGCTCCGATGGGTGAAACCTGCACAGAGAAGGAGGGAGGAGAGTGGGTAAGGGTTAAGGGAGAGGTGGGGAATCAAATAGGGGTCACAGATACCCTAGTGGAATGGAAGAAGTTTCAAGGAACAGGGGCCTTTGAAGATTCTCTATCAGTACCCTCAGATCAGGGAAGAAGGTACTGAGGATGAACTCAGTCCAAGATGAAGAAACTATGAAGTTCAGACATCAGTCATCACATACAGACAACATAGCCAAGACGTCAATGGCCAGTCAGGGAGTGTGACCTCAAGTCAGAGAGTAAGAAGCTGTCCAGCAAAGAGGAAGAATCTCCAACCACATCACAGCCGCTCACCATTGACATAGAGACTGTCCCTGTCCAGTGTGTAGGGGCCCAGCTCAGTGATGCTGTGGGTCAGCTGGCTCAGCTCCAAATACAGCTGCTCTCTGTCCAGCCCAGGGCCTGTGGGGTCAGGGCGGTGGGTGCAGATGGCATCCACTCCGGTGGCTTCCCCATCTTTCTCTGGCCTAGGGAGGGCAGATAAGGGGGATGACATTAAATAGATTGCCTATGGGGAGGCATCCTGAGATTCCTGGGGGCAGGACAGGAAGGGGACAGAGGAAATGAGAATCCTGGTAGACAGGTGAGAAGCCATACTAAGATTCTCTGAATGCACCAACTTCCAGGCAGCCTGGGAATGTGAGTAGAGTCAGGAATACAAGAATTTTATAAAATTGCATTCTCATGGTATGGGGACAGGAGAGCCCAGACTTGAGAAATATTAAGAGCTGGAATTGGGGATGAAAGCAAGTGGATGGGGGATGTTTATCTTGAGAGAAACCTTGGAAGAGAATTTAACACCTGAAGGAGAGGGAGGTAGGGAGAAGTAAGAAATTCAGAAGGATGACCAAAGTAGAAGCCTGATCTGGCTGATGGGCCCTGCAAATTCTCTCGATTGATGGGGGAGGTGGTAGGATCAGCAGATATGTTCATCCTGGAGCCACCAACGCCTGAATTCCACTTGTGCTGAGGACTTCCATAGGGAGGGAAGGAAGAAAGCTGATGAAACTCCTTGGGCCTGGGAACACTTGGGGTAGCCAGACTGGTTATTCTCAGTTCTCACCTGAGCAAGGTCAGCCTGCAGCCAGAGTACAGAGGGCCAACACTGGTGTTCTTGAACAAGGGCCTTAGCTGTGGAGGAGGAAGAGGGAGGTGAGTAAGATGGCTGAGGACATAGAAGTGAGGAAGATGTAAGGTGGAAGGGGCTGTAATCAGGGGGCGGGGCTATCTCTCAGGTGAGGGGAGGTGGGTGAGATCTTCTTCCATGCCTTGGAATGGGTGACGTAGGTGGAACAAGACAAGGTGGGCAGGGCAGAGTGAGGTGGGCAGGGCTCTCACCAGGCCCTGAAGGACCCTCTCTGTAGTGTTGAACTTCCTGGAGCCAGGCCACATGTTCTCCTCATACCGCAGGTTAGTGATGGTGAAGTTGAGGGTGAATAGTATCAGGAGATGGCTGGCAGCTGTAGTGGAGGTGGGAAATAAACACTATGTTCAAAAGTAGAGAACATTTAAGAGTTTGTAATAGATTTATTTCTAAACATATGCAACCAGATTTAAAGAGAGTGATAAAATAGAAGGTTTTCATGCCTCCCTTGACTATAACGATCAAAGTTTTTCATAGAGCATGCTAAATAATAATAGTTAGATGCTGAGCATAACCTTTGGTGATGTTCTGTGTTCCATAATACTAGACACTATCTATTACCTTTGTTATCACCACCATCATCATCACCAACACTGTGACCATCATTTTCATTATTGTCATCACCACCACCATCAGGACAAAAACCATGATCTTCATAATCCCTATCATCTCCACCACCATCACCATCATCATCCACATCATCACCTGCACCATCACCACCAGGAACATGGTCACCAACACCATCACTGTTTCATCCTTACCATCATGACAATCACCACCATCATCCTCATTATCATCATGATCACCACCATCACCACCACAACCACAACCATGACGGTCCACATCACCACCACTAGTACCGTGATCACCAACACCATCATCACATCATCCTTAACCATCATAACCACCACCACTATCATCATCATCCTCATTGTCAATATCACCACCACATTGTCAATCACCACCACAACCACCACCATCACCACCACCACTGTCATCCTTCCCATAATCACCACCACCACTATCATCATCATCATCACATCATCATTACTGTCAAAACCACTACCATCATCAATATCATCATCATCATCTTCATAATCACCATCATCATCACATCATGGTCATAAGCATCACCATCATTATTGTAATCATCTCCAGCAACATCATCATCACCACTATCCCACATCATCCTCAAAATAAAAGAAGCTCTCTGAGGGCAGAGATTTTTACCTCTTTTGTGTTCCCTGCCTTATCTCTAGGGCCTGGCAGAGAGTGGGTACTCAAAGAAGTTTGTTGGGTGACTCATCATCAGTAAATTTGCTATGATTTTTAATCTTATTTGAGTGAAAAGGACAGAGATGTTGACACTCATCATGCATACTCTAATAGAGGTGCCATTGACTGGTACTTACCTGAAGGGCCAAATATCGAGGCTGGAGTCTTAGATGCTCCCAGATACACTGTGGGGGTCCCAGGAGCTGAGGAGAAGCCCGCATTGGTTAAAGCAGCATAAGCTCTTTCATGGCAGAAATGCCAGCAGATAGGAATATTTCTGCATGTGGGGCTTGAGATTAGTGTCTCTCTGGAGCTGGGCCAGAGGGAAAGGGAATCACTTGTGCCCTCTCAGATCTTTCCCTCATGAAGAAGATATAGGGGCATAGGAGAAGGGGGTCAGCTCCTGTCCTGCTTGGAGTAGGACTGGGGTTACTGGAACATTAGTAGAATACTCACTGCTGGTGGTGGACACAGAGCTCCGATGAGTGAAACCTGCATAGAGAGGGAGGGAGGAGAGTGGGAAAGGGTTAAGGGAAAGGTGGGGGACCAAAAGGGGTCAGTGCTACCATGGTGCAATTGAAGGAGTTTCAGGGAACATGGGCTTTGAGGATTCTATACAAGTACACTCAGATCAGGGAAGAAGGTCCTGAGGATGAAGGTCTCCAGTACAAGATGAAGAAGAAACGGTGAAGTTCATATCAATCATCAAATACAGACAACATGGCCAAGACCAGTGGCCAGGCAGGGAGAGTGACCTCAAGACAGAGAGTAGAGGCCTGCTCAGCAAGGAAGAAGAAACTCCAACCACATCACAATTGCTCACCATTGACAAAGAGGCTGTCGTTGTCCAGGGCATAGGGGCCCAGCTCAGTGATATTGTGGGTCAGCTGGCTCAGCTCCCAATACAGCTGCTCTCTGTCCAGCCTAGGGCTTTTGGGGTCAGGGTGGTGGGTGCAGATGGCATCCACTCCAGTGGCTGTCCCATCCTTTTCAGGCCTGGAGAGGGCAGGTGAGGGGAATAATAATAAAGTTTTGTCTAGGGAGGAGTCCCAAGATTGCTGAGGGAAGGACAAGAAGGGGCCACAGGAAATGAGAAGCCTGGTACACAGATGAGAAGCCACACTTAGATTCTCTGAGTGCACTGACTACTGTCCAGCTTGGGACGGTGAGCATACTTGTGGATAAAAGAATTTTTCTAACATTTCAGTGTGGTTCTTGCATTCTCATGGCATGGGGACAGGACAGCCTAGACTTGAGACAGGTGACAAGCTGGAATTGGGAATTAAACAAGTGAATGAGGCACATTTGTCTTGAGAGAAATCTTAGTTAGAGAATTTAACACCTAAGGGCAAGGGAGGTGGGGAGAAAAGAGGGAATTCAGAGGGATGGCCAGGGTGGAAGTCCAATCCTGCTGATGGACCCTGTGGAAACTCTCAGTCAATTTGGGTGTGATGGCAGGGGGCAGTGGTAATATTGGGAGACAGGTTAGTCTTGGAGCCACTGTTCCTTGAGTTCCATCTTTGATCAGAATAACCACAGAGAGGGCAAGAAAAAAGAAGTCCACACTCATGGAGACTGGGAACAATTGGGGCAGACAGGTTGGCAATTCTAAGGTCTCACCTGAGCAAAGTCAGTCTGCAGCCAGAGTACAGAGGGCCAACACTGGTGCTCTTGAACAGGGACCTGAGCTGTGGGAGAGGGAGAGGGAGGTGAGTAGGATGGCTGAGGGGGTAGCGTCAGGGGACTAGTCATTGGGGCTGGCACCAGTAGGCGGGCCTGGCATCAGTGGATGGGGGCTCACGGCTCTGGGTGTGAGAGGAGGTGGGTGAGATCTTCTTCCATGCCCTGTCATGAGTGAGACAGGTGGAACTAGACAAGGTGAACTGGGCAGAGTGAGATGGGCGGGGCTCTTACCAGGCCCTGAAGGACCCTCTCCGTGGTGTTGAACTTCCTGGAGCCAGGGTGCTGCATGTTCTCCTCATACCGCAGGTTGGTGATGGTGAAGTTGAGAGTGAATAGCACCAGGAGAGGGCTGGCAGCTGTCGTGGAGGTGGGAAAGAAACAACATGTTCAAAAGTGGAGAACTTTATATATTTCCAAAAGGCCTACTTCTAAACATATGCAACAGGATTTAAAGAGAGAATAATATAAAAAGTTTCCATGCGTCCCTTGACTATAACAACAGAAGTTTCTAACAAAGCCTACTAAATAATAGTAGTAGTTAGCATACCTCTTGGTGCATATTCAGAGTTCTATAATACTAAATATTATCTGTTACCTTTATTATTACCATTGTCATCATCAATGTCACCAACACTGTGACCCTCACTATTATTGTCATCACCACCAGCATCAGCACCACCCACATCAGCACCAAAATCATGACCAACAGTGTGGTAGCATCCCCACTACCATCATCATCATCATCACCACCACCACAATCATCATCATTTGCATCATGATCACCAGCACCATGATTACCAACACCATTGTCGTATCATCATTATTCTCATCACCACAACCACCATCACAACCATCATCATTATAATCATCATTATCTTCATTGTAACCATCACAATCACTATTGTCAATCACTACCACAACCGCCACCATCCTTACCACCATCATTCTTCCCATAATCACCCCCACAACTGTCCTGATCATCATCACATGATTACCATCATAACCACCACCACTACCATCATCATCATTATTCTCATTGTCAACATCGTCATTACTATTGTCAATCACTACCAAGACTACCACCATCACCAACACCACTATCATCCTTCCCATAATCACCACCACCATTGTAATCATCATCACAGCATCACCATCATAACCCCTGCCACCACCATCATCATCATCACCACCACCATCTTCATAATTATCATCCTTATCACCATCATCATCACTAGCATCACCATTCTTATTGTCATCATCTCCAGTAACTTCACCACCACCAACTCCCATCACCCTCACAATAAAATAAGCTTTCTTGCAGCAGATATTTTTAACTGTTTTGTGTCCCCTTCCTTATCCCTAGAGCCCTGCAGAAACTAGGCACTCAATTAAGTTTGCTGGATGACTCCTCATCCGTAGATTCACTAGGATTTTTTATCTTTATTTAAGTGAAAATGGCAGAGATGTTGACAGTCATCAGGCATGCTCTAACAGAGATGCGATTGATTTGTACTTACCCGAGGGACCAGGTTTAGAAACTGGAGTCCCAGATGTTCCCAGGTCCACTGTGGGGGTCCCAGGAACTGAGGAGAAGGCCTCATTAGTGAAAGTGTTGAACCCTCTCATGGCAGAAATGCCAGCAGGTAGGAGTATTTATGGACCTTGCTGCATGTGGGGCTTGAGCTGGGTCTCTCTCTGAAGAGACTTGGGCCAGAAGGGAAAGGGAGTAACTTGTGCTGTCCCAGCTCCTTTGCTCATAGAGGACATAGGGGCATGTGAGGAGGGGTCAGTTCTTGCCCTGCATGATGTAGGATCAGGAGCACTGGAAATCAGTGGATACTCACTGCTAGTGGTGGGCACAGAGCTCCGCTGTGTGAAACCTGCATAGAGAGGGAGGGAAGAGGGTGGGTAAGGGTTAAGGGAGTGGTGGGGAACTATATAGGGGTCAGGGTACCCTGGTGCAATGGAAGGAATTTCCCAGAACACGAACCATTGAAGATTCTCTATCAGCACCCTCAGATCCAGAAAGCAGATCCTGAGGATGAACTCAGTCCAAGATGAAATAGAAACCATGAAGTTCCAACCTCAGCCATCACATACAGACAACATGGATGAGCATTCAATAGCCAGGCAGGGAGCGTGACCTCAAGGCAGAGAGTAGAGGCTGCCCAGCAAGGAGGAAGAGACTCCAACCACATCACAACTACTCACCATTGACATAGAGACTGTCCCTGTCCAGGGTGTAGGGGCCCAGCTCAGTGATGCTGTGGGTCAGCTGGCTCAGCTCCCAGTATAGCTGCTCTCTGTCCAGTCCAGGGCTTTTGGGATCAGGGCGGTAGGTGCAGATGGCATCCACTTTGGTGGCTGCCCCATCCTTCTTGGGCCTGGGGAGGGCAAGATTGGGGAAAGACAATACACGGATTGCCTAGGGAGGGGTTCTGAGATCCCACAGGGCAGGACAGGAGGGGGCCAGAGGAAATGAGAAGCCTGGTAGAGAAGTGAGAAGCCATACTTCCATTCTCTGAGTGCACTGACTCTTAGCAACTATGAGCAGAATCATGGATGCAAGGATTTTTATAAAATTGCAAAGTGGAAACTGCATTCTTGTAGCATGGGGTAAGGAGAACTCATACTTGAGACAGGTGAAGAGCTAGGTTTGGGGATGAAAGCAAGTGGACGAGGCATGTTTTTCTTGGGAGAAATCCTGGGAACAGAATTGAACCACTTGTGGAAAGGCAGGTAGGGGAAAGGAGGGAATTCAGAGGGATGACCAAGGTAGAAGCTCAGTCCTGCTGATGGGCTCTGCATCTCTCAGTTGAGGTGGGAGGTGGTGGGAACAGGAAGCACATTGGTCTTAGAGCCACTGCCTCCTGGATTCCACCTGGCTGCGGACATCTCCAGGGAGTGCAGAAGGGAAGCAGGTCAAACTGCTCAGATCAGTCAGACTGGCTGTTCTCAGTTCTCACCTGAGCAAGGTCAGTCTGCAGCCAGAGTACAGAGGGCCAACACTGGTGTTCTTGAACACAGGCCTGAGCTGTGGAGGAGGGAGAGGGAGGTGAGTGGGAGGACTGAAGTCATAGGGGTGTGGTAGAAGGGAGGTGGGCAGGGCTGGCAACAGTTGGTGGGGCTGGCATCAGTGGTTGGGGTATGCATATCTGGGGGCAAGATGAGGTAGATGAGATCTTCCATGCTCTGCAATAGGTGAGGTGGGCAGGACTAAACATGGTGAGTGGGGTAGAATGAGGTATGTGGGGCTCTTACCAGACCCTGAAGGACTCTCTCCGTGGTGTTAAACTTTCTAGAGCCAGGGTGATGCATGTTCTCCTCATACCGCAGGTTAGTGATGGTGAAGTTAATTGTGAATAGCACCAGGAGAGGGCTGGCGGCTATAGTGAAGATGGGAAATAAACAGTGTTCAAAAGTAGACTAACACTTAAGAATTTGTGATAGAATTGTTTCTAAACATATGCAACATGATTTAAAGTGACAAAATAAAAGGTTTTCACGCCTCCCTTCACTGTAATGGTACATAGTTCTCATAGAGCATACTAAATAATAGTAGTTAGATGCTAAGCACAGCTCTTGGTGCATATTCAGTATTCCATACTACTAGACATTATCTACTACCTTTGCCAACACCACGATCATCATCAACATCAGCAACACTGTGACCATCGCTATCATTATTGTCATCACCACCAGCATCAGCACCAAAACCATGACCATCATAATCCCTATGATCCCCACCCATCATCATCATTACACCACCAGCACCACAACCATCATCATCCATATAATCACCACTAGCACATGGTCACTAACACCATTATCATATCATTCTTACTATCATAACCACCATCACCACCAACATCATTATCATCATCACCACCATCATTATCCTCATTGTCAACATCATGATCACATTGTCAATTGCCATCAGAACCATCACATCACCACCACCACTATCATCCTTCCCATAATCATCACCACCACTATCATCATCATCACCATCAAAACCACTACCACCATCATCATCATCATCACCATCATCAGCAACACCATCATTGTTGTCATCATGTCCATCATCCCTATCATTATCATCATCATCACAACAATATAACCTTCCTGAGGATAGAGATTTTTATTTCTTTTGTGTTCCCTGCCTTATCCCTAGGGCCCCGAAGAAGCCAGACGCTCAACAAAATTTGTCGGTTGACTTGTCATCACTAGATTCACTAGGACTTTTCATTTTTATTTGAGTGAAAATGGTGGAGTTGTAGGCCAGGTGCGGTGGCTCACGCCTGTAATCCCAGCACTTTGGGGGGCCAAGGCAGACAGATCACGAGGTCAGGAGTTCGAGATCAGTTTGACCAATATGGTGAAGCTCCACCTCTACTAAAAATATAAAAATTAGCTGGGCATGGTGGCATGCACCTGTAATCCCAGCTACTCAGGAGGTGGAGGCAGGAGAATCGCTTGAACCTAGGAGGCAGAGGTTGCAGTGGGCTGAGATCACGCCATTGCATTCTAGCCTGGGTGACAGAGCAAGACTATGTCTCAAAAAAGAAAAAAAAGAAAGAAAAGAAAATGGCAGAGATGTTGACACTCCTCAGGCATGCTGTAATAGAGATGACACTGAATAGTACTCACTCATGGGTCCAGACAGGGAGGCTGGAGTTCTCGAGGTTGCCAGGTGCATTGTGGAGGTATCAGGAGCTGAGGAGAAGGTTTGCTGTATTAGTGAAAGCAGCAAACCCTCTCATGGCAGAAACACCAGCAGGTAGGAGTATTTATGGCCCTTGCTGCATGTGGGGCAGTATCTCCATCTGGAGCTGGGCCAGAGGGAAAGGGGAATAACTTGTGCTCTCTCTTCCTTCCCTCATGAAGAGGATATAGGGGCATAGAAGGAGAGGTAAGCTCCTGCCCTTTATGATGTAGGATCAGGAGCACTGGAACATCAGTTAATACTCACTTCTGGTGGTCGTCATAGAGCTCTGATGGGTGAAACCTGCATTGAGATGGAGGGACGAGAGTGGGTAAGTGTTAAGGGAGTGGTGGGGTACCCTGGTGCAACAGAAGGAATTTCCCAGAACACGGGCCATTGAAGATTCTCTATCAGCACCCTCAGATTTAGAAAGCAGATCCTGAGGGTAAATTCAGTTTGAGATGAAGAAGAAACCACGAAGTTTTGACCTTAGCCACCACATACAGACAACATGGTTGAGCCTTCAATAGCCAGACGGGAAGTGTGACCTCAGGCCAGAGAATAGAGGCTGTCCAGCAAGGAGGAAGAGACTCCAACCACATCAAAGTTGCTCACCATTGACATAGAGACTGTGCCTGTCCAGGGTGTAGGGGCCCAGCTCAGTGATGCCGTGGGTCAGCTGGCTCAGCTTCCAGTACAGCCGCTCTCTGTCCAGTCCAGGGCTTTTGGGGTCAGGACGATGGGTGCAGACAGCATCCACTCTGGTGGCTGCCCCATCCTTCTCAGGCCTAGGGAGGGCAGATGAAGCAAATAACAATTTAAAAATTGCCTCAGGAGGAGTTCTGAGATTTCCTGGGGCCAGACAGGAAGGGGCCAGAGGAAATGAGAAGCCTGGGAAAGAGGTAATAAGTCACATTTAGATTCTCTGAGTGTCCCGGCTGCCAGCCAGCCCAGGACTGTGAACAGAGTCATAGATGCAAGAACTTTTTATAAAATTGCAAAGTAAAGCCTGCATTCTCATGGCATGGAGACAAGAGTACTCAGACATGAGACAGATGAAGAGCTGGAATTGGGGATGAAAGCAAGTGGATGAGGCATGCTTGTCTTGTGAGAAATCCTGGGGACAGAATTTAACAACTGGAGGAAAGGGAGGTGGGTGGAAAGGAGGGAATTCAGAGGGATGACCAAGGTAGAAGCACAATTCTCCTCATGGACTCTGCAGAATCTCGCAGTTGATTGGGGTGGTGCTGATGGTATCAGGAGACAGATTAGTTTTGAAGCCAATGCTTCCCGAATTCCATCTGTTGTGAGGACATTCACAGGGATGGCAGGAAAAAAAAAAACAATCCAAACTCTTTGCGACTAGGAACAATTGGGGCAGCTAGGCTAGCTCTTCTAAAGTCTCACCTGAGCAAGGTCAGTCTGCAACCAGAGTACAGAGAGCTGACACTGGTGTTCTTGAACAAGGGCATAAGCTGTGGAAGAGGGAGAGGGAGGTGACTAGGAGGGCTGGGGATATAGTGGTGGGGCACAAGTGTGGCGAGTGCAGCTGGCACCAGTGGGCAGGGCTTGTGTCTCTAGGGGAGATGGATGAGATTTTCTTCCATGGCCCTGGCATGGGTGATGTTGTTGGGACCAGGTAACGTGGGAGGGGCAGAGTAAGTTGGACAGGGGTCTCACCAGACCCTGAAGGACCCTCTCCGTGGTGTTGAACTTCCTGGAGCCAGGGCGACGCATGTCCTCCTCATACTGCAGGTTAGTGATGGTAAAATTGAGGGTGAATGGCAGCAGGACAGGGCCAGTGGCTGTAGTAAAAGGTGTGGAAACAAACACTATTGTGTTTGTTTGTATTTTTAATCTGTTGCATATAGTTAAAAATAAGTCTATTGCAAACTCCTCAAGTTTCTCGACTTTTGCAATAGACTTGAAGAGTTTGCAATAAGTTTATTTTTAATCATATGCAACAGAATTTAAAATGAATGACAAAATTAAAGGTTTCCATGCCCTTCTTGATAGAAATTATTTTTTTAAAAAGCATATTACATAATATTTGTTAGATTCTGAGCCCAGCTTTTGGTGCATATTCAGTGCTGAAAAATATCAGATATTACCTGTTACCTTTGTCATCACCATTATCATCATCATCATCATCATCATCACCATTATTGTCAGCATCAGCACCAAGACCATCACCACAACGATAATCCCCATCAATACTACCACAAACATCATTATCACCATAGTCATATCATCATTACCATCATAATCATCATCACTGTCATTATCTGAATAATCATCATCACGATCATTGTCATCATAATCACTATCGCCATCACTATTGTCATCCTCACCATCACGAATGTCACAATCCACATCAACACCACCACAAACATCATCATCATCACCATAATCACATCATCATTAGCATCATAACCAGCAACATTACTGTCATCATCCAAACAACCATCATCATCTTTACCATCATTGTCACCATTGTTATCATCACCACTCCAACATCATCACCACAATCAACACAACCGTCATCATCATCATTATTATTATCATTATTGTCAAAATCCCCATAATTATTGTCAATTGTAATCCCCACCACCACCATCATTCTTCCCATGATTACCACCAGCATAATCATCATTATCCTTACCATCACCACCACCACCACCACCACTGCAATCATCATCACCGCCACCCCCATCATCATCATCATCACAATAATATAAGCTCACTGAGGGCAGTGTTTTTTCTTTTTTTGTTCCCTGATGTATATCCAGGTCCTGATACAGAGGCAGTGCTCAATGAACTGGGTTGGTTGACCTATGGTTACTACATTTACTATGAATTTCCATCTTTAGTTGAGTGAATAATGACAGAGATGTTTACACTCATCAACCATGCTCTAACAGAGTATAAACAGAGATGTTTACACTCATCAACCATGCTCCAAATACCATTGACTGGTATTTACCTGTGGGGCCAGGGAGGGATGATGGAGTCTCAGAGGTTTCCGGCTGTACTGTGAAAGTCCCAGGAGCTGAGGAGAAGCCCTCAACAGTGAAAGGAGCAAGTGCTCTCATGGAAGTAATGCCAGCAGGAGGGACTATTCATGGGGATTTTTGCCTGTGGGGCTTCAGCTGGGATTCTGATTAGCTGGGGCAGTGGGGAAGGGGAATAATTTGTGTCCTCTATGTTCCTTCCCTTATGGAAAGGACATAAGGGCTTATGAATAGGGGTCAGCTCCTGCTAAGTTTGTTGTAAGATTGGGGCCATGGGAACATCAGTAGAATACTCACTGCTGGTGGTGGGCACAGAGCTCCGCTGGGTGAAACCTGCATAGAGAGGGAGGGAGGAGTGTGGATAAGAGTCAAGGGGGAGGTAGGGGGTCAAAAAAAAGTCAGGGCTACCCTGGTGGAATGAAAGGAGTTTCATGGAACAGGGGCCTTTGGAGATTCTCTGTCAGAATCTGAGTATCAGGGAAGAAGCTACTAAGGATGAAATCAGTTCAAGATAAAGAAGAAATCATGAAATTCTGACATCAATCACCACATACAGACGTGTCCTAGCCTTCAGTGTCCAAGCAGGGCATGTGACCTCAAGTAAGAGAGTAGAGGCTGCCCAGGCAGGAGAAAGAGACTCTAATCACATCAGAGCTGCTTACCATTGACATAGAGACTGTCCCTATCCAGGGTGTAGGGTCCCAGCTCAGTGATGCTGTGGGTCAGCTGGCTCAGCTCCCAGTATAGCTGCTGTCTGTCTAGCCCAGGGATTTTGGGGTCAGGGCGGTGGGTGCAGATGGCGTCCACTCTGGTGGCTACTCCATCCTTCTCAGGCCTGGGGAGAGGTGGTGAGGGGAATGGCAATAAATGAATTGCCTAAGGAGAGGTCTTGAGATGGCAGAGTGTAGGACAAGAAGGACAGAGGAAGTAAAAAGTCTAATACAGAGGTGGGAAGCAATACTTAGATTCCCTGAGTGTACTGGACTGCTTGGGACTGTGAGCATAGTTGTGGATATAACAGTTTTCCCAAAATGGCAGGGTGGATCCTGCATTCTTAAAGCATGGAAACAGGAGAGCTCAGACTTGAGATAGCTGAAGAGCTGGAATTGGGGATGAAAACAAGTGGTTGAGGCATGTTTGTCTTGAGAGAAATCCTGGTTACAGAGTTTAACACCTAAAGTCAAGGGAGGTGGGGGGAAAACAGGGAATTCTGAGGAATGGCCAGGGCAGAAGTCCAGTCCTGTTGATGGACTCTGGAATCTCTCAGTCAGTTTGGAAGTGGGGGCGGGGGCACTGCTAATACCAGGAGACAGGTTAGTCCTGGAGCCAGTTTCCTGGATTCCATCTTTGATAAGAATAATCACAAAGAGGACAGGAAAAAAGAAGTCCAAACTCATTGAGACTAGGAATAATCGGGGCAGCCACACTGGAAATTCTAAGGTCTCACCTGAGCAAGGTCAGTCTGCAGCCAGAATACAGAGGGCCAACACTGGTGCTCTTGAACAAGGGCTTGAGCTGTTGGGGAGGGAGAGGGAGGTGAGTGGCAGGGCTGAAGAAGTAGAGGCACGGCAGAAGTGAGGTGGGTGGGGCTGGCTGTAGTTGGTGGAGCTGACATCAGTAGGTTGTATGGGGCTTTTATCTCTTGGGGTGAGGGGAGGTGGGTGAGATCTTCCATGGCCATATAGGTGACATAGGTGGGACTAGGTAAGGTGGATAGGGCAGAGTGAGATAGGTGGGGCTCTTACCAGACCCTGCAGAACACTCTCCGTGATGTTGAACTTCCTGGAGCCAGGGTGACCCATGTTCTCCTCATACTGTAGGTTAGTGATGGTGAAGTTGAGTGTGAATGGCACCAGGAGAGGGCCGGTGGCTATAGTGAAGGTGGGAAATAAACACTATGTTCAAAAGTAGAGAAAATTTAAGAGTTTGCAATAGACTTATTTCTAAACATATGCAACAGGATTTAAAGTGAGTGATAAAACATAATGTTTTCATGCCTCCTTTGACTATTATGATAGCTGTTCTTGAGAGAGCACATTAAATAGTAGTTAGAGGCTGAGCATAGGTCTTGGTGCATATTCAGTGTTCCATAGTGCCAGATACTATCTAGTGCCGTTGTTAACACCACCTTCATTTTCAACATCACCATGATTGTCTCCATGAGTATTATTATCATCACCACCATCAGCACCAACCCCAACACCACCACCACCATCATCATTATCACCATTAACACCACAACCATCATCATCCCAATCATCACCTCCATCACCATTATCATCATCACCATCATCACTGTCAATATCACCATGATTGCCACCATCAGTAGTATTATTGTATCCCCATCACCACCAGCGCTATCATCACCATCTTCATTATCATCAGTGTCAACATCATCATCATTTTTGTCAATCACCAC
Organism: Homo sapiens; assembly: GCF_000001405.40. NCBI lineage: Eukaryota > Metazoa > Chordata > Mammalia > Primates > Hominidae > Homo > Homo sapiens. Next base: position 131,583 of record NW_025791807.1, read on the forward strand.
CACCATAATTATTACTGTCTTCACATAATTATTATCATCATAACCACTACCCCCACCATTATCATCATCCTCATCACTGTCATCATAATTAGCAACATCACCACCATCATCTATATCATGATCATTATCAACATCATCATCAGCATCACCACCATCATCATCACCATCACTTACATCATCATCATCACAGGAATATAAGCTATCTTAAGCAGAGATTGCTATCTATTTCTATGTTCCCTGCTGTATCTCCAGGGCCTGGCACAGAGTAGGTGCTCAATAAAGTTTACAGGTTAACTCCTCATCACCATATTTACTATGACTTTTATCTTTATTTAAGTGCATAATGGCAGAAATGTTTATATTCATCAGGCACACTCTAATGGAAGTGCCATTGGCTGATACTTACCTGTAGTTTCAGGGAGGGAAGGTGGGATCCCAGAGGTTCCCAGGTTCACTATGGAGGTCCCAGGAGCTAAGGAGAAGCCCTCATCAGTGAAAGCAGCAAGCATTCTCATGGCAGAAATGCCAGCAGGTAGGACTAGTATGAGGCTTGCTGCAGGTGGGTCTTGAACTGTGTTTCTCTTTTGGGCATAGGGGAGAGGGAATAACTTGTGCTCTCCCAGCACCTTCCTCTCATAAAGGGGACATAAGTGTGTATGAGGAGGACTAAGCTCCTGCCCTGCTTGGGGTAGAATTGGGGGTACTGGAACATCAGTTGAATACTCACTGCTGGTGGTTGGTATGGGGCTCCAATGAGTGAAACCTGCAGAGAGAGGGAAGGAGGATAGTGGGTAAGAGTTAAGGAGAGGTGGGGGGACCAAATAGGAATCAGAGCTACCCTGGTGGAATAGAAGGGGTTTCATGGAACAGGAGCCATTAGAGGTTCTCTATCAGCACGTTCACTTCAGGGACCAGGGTCTGGAGAATGAACTCAGTCCAAGATGCAGAAAAAAATAATGAAGTTCTAACATCAATCATCACATACAGACAACATGGCAGAGGCTTCAACGTCCAGACAGGAAGTGCGACTTCAAGCCAGAGAGGAGGGGTTGTCCAGCAAGGAGGAAGAGACTCCAACCACATCAAAGCTGCTCACCATCGACATAGAGACTGTCCCTGTCCAGGGTGTAGGGGCCCAGCTCAGTGATGCCGTGGGTCAGCTGGCTCAGCTCCCAGTACAGCTGCTCTCTGTTCAGTCCAGGGCTTTGAGGGTCAGGGTGGTGGGTACAGATGGCATCCACTCTGGTGGCTGCCTTGTCCTTCTCTGGCCTGAGGAGGTTAGGTGGTGGGGGGGGGGGGTGACAATGAAAGGACTGCCCAGGAAGGGGTCCTGAGATTCCTGAGGGAAGGACAGGGAGGGGACAGAGGAAATGAGAAGCCTGGGAGAGAGGTGAGAAGCCACAGTTAATTTCTCTAAATGCACCAACTCCCAGTCCAAGCAGAGTCATGGACACAAGAGTATTTATGAAATTGCAAGGTGAAACCTGCAGTTTGATAGCGCGAAGACAGGAGAGCTCAGACTTGAGATAAGTGAAGAGCTAGAATCAGAGATAAAAGCAAGTGGAAAAGCCACCTTTCTCTTAAGGGAGACCTTGGGAACAGAATTTTAAAACTTAAGGGAAGGGATATGGGGGAATGGAAGGCATTAAGAAGGATGAATGGAGTAAGAAGCCAAACTTTATGATGGGCTCAGGAGAATCTGTCACTTGAGTGGGGAAGTGCTAGGATCAGGAGACACGTTCTTTCTTGAAGCCACTGCCAACTGAATCCCACTTCTGCTGAGGACGTTCACAGGGAGGGCAAGAAGGATGCTTCTGGGGCCTGGGAACACTTGGGTAAGCCCTGATTGGCTATTCTAAGGTCTCACCTGAGCAAGGTCAGTCTGCAGCTGGAGTACAGAGGGCCGATACTGGTATTCTTGAACAAGGGCCTGAGCTGTGGAGGAGGGAGAGGGAGGTGATTGGGAGGGCTGATGAGGAGAGGCAGGGCAGAAATGAGATAGGTGGGTGGGGCTGACACCAGTGGGTAGGGCTTGTGACTCGGGGTCGAAGGTGATTCACATGGGATCTTCTTCTATATCCCGGGCATGGGTGATGCAGGTGGAATCTGGTAAGGTGGGCCAGGCAGAGTGAGATGGGTTGGACTCTCACCAGACCCTGTAGGACCCTCTCCGTGGTATTGAACTTCCTGGAGCCAGGGTGTCGCATGGCCTCCTCATACTGCAAGTTGGTGATGGTGAAGTTGAGGGTGAATGGCACCAGGAGAGGGCCAGGCACTGTAGTGGGAGTGAGAAACAAACACTATGTTCAGAAATAGAAAAATTATGGGTTTGCAATAGAATTATTTTTAAATATACACAGCATTAAACGGGATGGACAAAATGAAGAATTTTGATCCCTCCCTTAACTATAATGATAGAATTTTAAAAAACACATACTATATCATATCAGTTGGATGCTAAGCCTAGCTTTCATTGTATGTTCATTGCTCAATAATGTCATGTTATCCTTTACCTTTGTTAGCGCCATCATAATCACCATCATTGTCACCTACAGCATCATTATTGTCATCATCACTGCCACCACCACCACCGTAATAATCCCCACAATCACCACCAGCACAACCATCACCACCATCATCATGATCATCAACATCATTACTGTCATCATCACTGCCACCATCATCACCATGATAATCCCCATCACCACCACCATAATCATCATCATCACCATCATTACTGCCATCATCACTGCCATCATCATCACCAGGATAATCCCCATTGTCATCATCATCATCACTATCATTGTCACCCACACCATAATTGTCATCATTACTGCCACCACCACCACCACCATGATAATCTCCATCATCACCACCAGCACCAGAAACATCATCATCACCATCACCATCACTGTCACCCACACCATCATTGTTGTCACCACCACTTCCATGACCACCACCATGATCATCTCCATCATGACCACCAGCACTATCATTTATCACACTCAACACATCATCATTATCATAACCCCCACCTTCATCCTCATCCTCACCTGTCATCATCCTCACCACCTTCATCATCATTATCATCATTGCTACCATAAGCATCACCATCATCATCAAAACCACCACCACTATCATCATCACCACCTGCCACAGGCATCATCACAAGAATATAAGCTCTCTGATGGCAGAGACTTTTATCTGTTTTGTATACTTGCTGTATCCCCAGGGTCTGGCACAGAGGAGGTGCCCAATAACATTTGTAGGTTGACGCAACATCACTAGATTTACTATGATTTTTACATTTATTTGAGTAAATAATGGCAGACATGTTGCTGCTCATCAATCATGCTCTAACAGAGGTGCCTTTGACTGGTACTTACCTATGGGTCTAGGTAGGGAGGATGGAGTTTCAGAGGTTCCTAGGTGTACTGTGGAGGTCCCAGGAGCTGAGGGAAAGACCTCATCAGTGAAAGCAGCAAGCTCTCTCATGGCAGAAATGCCAGTAGGTAAGACAATTTATGGGCCTTGCTGTATGTGGGGTTGGAGCTGGGTCTCTCCCTGGGGCACAGGGTAAAGGGAATAACTTGTGCCCATCCAGCTCCTTTGCTCATGAAAATAATAGAAAGGCATATGAAGTGGGTTCAGGTCCTGCCCTGCTTAATGTAGGGTTGGGGGCACTGGAATGTCAGTTGAATACTCACTGCTGGTGATGGGCACAAAGTTCCGATGGGTGAAACCTGCAGAGAGAGAGAGAGGAAGAATGGAGAATAAGAGTCAAAGGAGAGGTGGGTGACCAAATAGGGGTCAGGGTACCCTGGTTTAATGGAAGGAGTTTCATGGAACAAAGGCCATTGGAGATTCTCTATTACCACCCTCACGTCAAGGAAGAAGACCCTGAAGATATAACTCAGTGCAAGATGAAGAAGAAACCCTGAAGTTTAGATGTCAGCAATCACAAAAGACAAAGTGGCTGCACCTACAATAATCAGGCAGGAACTGTGACCTCAAGCCAGAGAGTAGAGGCCACTCATCAAGAAGGAAAAGCCTGCAACCACATCACAGGCACTCACCATTGACATAGAGACTGCCTCTGTCCAGGAGGTAGGGGCCCAGCTCGATGATGCCACGGGTCAGTTTGCTCAGCTCCCAGTATAGCTGCTCTCTGTCCAGTCCAGGGTTTAGAGGGTCAAGGCGGTGAGTGCAGATGGTGTCCACGCCGGTGGCTGCCCCACGTTTTTCAGGCCTGAGGAGGATAAGTGAGGGGAATGACAATAAGTGGATTGCCTAGGAAGAGGTCCTGAGATTCCTGAGGGAAGGACAGGCAGGGGCCAGAGGAAGTGGTACAGAGGTGAGAAGCTACACATAGATTCTGTGAGTGCACCAACTCCCAGCCAGCCTGGGTCTATGAGCAGAATCATGGACACAAAAATATTTGTAACATTATAAAGTGGATCCTCTGTTCTCAGAAGATGGGGACAGGAGAGCTCAGACTTGAGACAGGTGAAGAGCTGGAATTGGGGATCAAAGCAAGTGGATGAGGCATGTTTGTGTTTGAAAGAAATGCTGGTTGTAGAGTTTATTATCTGCAGGAAAGGGAGGTGGTGGGAAAGGAGGGAACTTAGAGGGATGACCAGGGTAGGGGCCCTATCCTGCTGATGAGCTCTGCAGCATCACTGTTGAGTGGAGAGATGTTACTATCAGGGACACTTTGGTCCTGGAGCCACTGCCTCCTGGATTCCACCAGTGCTGAGGGCACCCCTAGGGAGGGCAGGAAGGAAGTTTTCCAAACTTCTTGGGACTGGGAACAATTGGAGAAGGTAGGCTGGCTCCTCTAAGGTCTCACCTGAGCAAGGTCAGTCTGCAGCCAGAGTACAGAGGGCCAACACTGGTGCTCTTGAACAAGGGCTTGAGCTGCAGAGGAGGGAGAGGGAGGTGAATGGGAGAGCTGAAGTGTAGGGGCATGGCAGACATGAGGTAGAAGGGGCTGGCATCAGTGGGCAGGGCTTGTATCTCTGGGACCCAGGAGTGGTGGGTGAGATCTTCTGTGGCCCTGGCATAGATGATGTAGGTGGGACTGGCAAAATGGTAGGGCTCTCACCAGACCCTGCAGGACTCTCTCCGTGGTGTTGAACTTCCTGGAACCAGGGTGACGCATGTCCTCCTCATACTGCAGGTTGGTGATAGTGAAGTTGAGGGTGAATGGCACCAGGAGAGGGCCAGGGGCTGCAGTGGGAGTGGGAAGTAAACACTATGTTCAAAAGTAGGAAAAATATGATATTGCAACGGACTTATTTTTAAACACGTGCAGAATTTATCACGCCTGTAATCCCAGCACTTTGGGAGGCCGAGGTGGGTGGATCACGAGGTTGGGAGATCAAGACCATCCTAGCCAACATGATGAAACCCCGTCTTTACTTAAAAAAAAAAATACAAAAATGAGCTTGGTGTGGTGGCACGTCTGTAATCCCAGATATTTGGGGGGCTGAGGCACAAGAATCACTTGAACCCACGAGGTGGAGGTTGCAATGAGCTGAGATCGCGCCACTGCACTCCAGCCTGGCGACAGAGTGAGACTCTGTCTCAAAAAAACGAAACAAACAAACAAAAAACCATATGCAGCATTTAAAGTGATAGAATTTTGTAGAAAGCATACAATAGTAGGTAAATACTGAGCATAGCTCTTGATGCATATTCAGTGCTCAATATTGCCAAAAATTATCTATTCTCTGTTTCTACTATCATCATCATCACCATCATCCTCACTACCACCATTATTCTTGTCCTTCTCATTACCACCACTATCATCAGCATCACCATTATCATCATCATCACAGTCATCATCATCATGATCATCACCATTATCATCACCAACACCCACTTAATCATCATCATCATGGAAATATAAGCTCTCTGAATGCAGTTATTTTATCTCTTTTCTGTTCCCTGCTGTATCCCCGGGCATTAAAGTTTGTGACTTGATTTACCGTCACTAGATTTGCCATTACTTTTCATCTTTATTTGAGTCAACAGTGGCAGAGATGTTGGCACGCTCAGGCATGATCTAACAGAGGTGCCATTGACTGGTGCTCACCTGTGTGGCCAGGGAGGGAGGCTGGAGTCCCAGAGGTTTCCAGGTGCACTGCAGAGGTCCCAGGAACTGAGAATAAGCCCTCATTACTGAAAGCAGCAAACCCTCTCATGGTGGAAATGCCAGCAGGTAAAACTATTATGGGCCCCACTGCATTTGAGGTTTGAGCTGAGCCTCTCTATGAAGCTAGGACACAGGGAAAAGGAAATAAATTGTGCCCTCCAAGCCTTTTCCCATAAGAAGAGGATGTAAGGGGATAAGAGGTAAGGTCAGCTCCTGCCCTGCTTGGTGTAGGATTGGGGGGACTGGAACATCAGTAAAATACTCACTACTGGTGGTTGGCACAGAGCTCCGATGGGTGAAGCCTGCAGAGAGAGGGAGGGAGGAGACTGGGTAAGGGTTAAGGAGAAGTCAGACCAAATAGGGGTCAGGGTTACCCTTGTGCAATGAGGAAAGTTTCATGAAGCATGGTCATTGGGATCCCTCACCAGCACCCTCATATGGGGGAAGAAGGCCCTGAGGGTGAAATCCGTGCAAGATGAAGATGAAACCATGAAGTTGAAACTTCAATCATCAGATATAGAGCACATCATCAAACCCTCAATGGTCAGAAAGGGCACGTGACCTCAGGACAAACAGTAGCATCTGCCCAGCTAGGAGGAAGAGCCTCCAATCACATCACGGCTGCTCACCATTGACATAGAGACTGTCCCTGTCCAGGGTGTAGGGGCCCAGCTCTGTAACGCTGTTGGTCAGCTGGCTCAGCTCCCAGTATAGCCGCTCTCTGTCCAGTCCAGGACCAGTGGGATCAAGGCGGAGGGTGCAGATGGCGTCCACTCCAGTGGCTGCCCCATGTTTCTCAGGTCTGGGGAGGGTAAGAGTGGGGAATGGCAATAAGTGGATTGCCTAGGGAGGGGTTCTGAGCTTACTGGGTGAAGGACAGGAAGGGGCCAGAGGAATTAAGAAGCCTGGTACAGAAGTGAGAGAAGCCACACTTTGATTCCCTGAGTGCTTCAACTCCCTGCCAGCTTGGGACTGTGAGCAGAGTCATGGATGCAAGGATTTCCATGAAATCACAAGGTGCAACCTGCATTCTCAGAGCAATGGAGAAAGAAGAGTTCAGTCCTGAGACAGGGGAAGAACAAGAATTAGGGGTGAAAGCAAGTAGATGAGTCATGTTTGGAGAGAAATTCTGGGAACAGAGTTTAACAACTGGAGGAAAGGGAGGTGGAGGGAATTTAGAGGGGTGATGGGTAAGGGATCAATCCTGCTGATGGACTCTGAAGAATTTGTCAGTTGGTGTGGGTAGGGCAGGAAGGAAGGTGAGCAAACTCTTTGGGCCTGGGAACAATTGGAGAAACCAGGCAGGAAATTCTAAGGTCTCACCTGAGCAAGGTCAGTCTGCAGCCAGAGTACAGAGGGCCAACGCTGGTGCTCTTGAACAAGGGCTTGAGCTGTAGAGGAAGGGGAGGGAGGTGAGTGGGTGGGCTGAGGTGGAGGGACGGGGCAGACATGAGGTAGGAGGGTCTGGCATCACTAGGTGGGGCTGGCATCTCTGGGGCCAAGGAGTGGTGGGTGAGATCTTCCATGGCCCTGGCATGGGTGATATAAGCGGGACTGGTAAGGTGGTGGAGCTCTTACCAGACCCTGCAGAACCCTCTCCGTGGTGTTGAACTTCCTGGAACCAGGGTGTTGCATGTTTTCTTCATAATGCAGGTTGGTGATGGTAAAGTTGAGGGTGAATGGTATCAAGAGAGGGACAGGGGCTGTAAAGGGGTTGGGAAATAAACACTATGCTCAAAAGCAGAGAAATATATAAAAGTTTGCAATAGACTTATTTTTGAACATATGCCACAGGATTTAATGTGGATAAAAACTAAAAGATTTTCAAGCCTCTCTTGGCTAAAACGATAGAAGTTTTTCATAAAGAAGCATATTATATAATTGTAATTAGATGGTGAACACAGCGCTTGGTGCAGATTTAGTACTCAATAATGTCAGATGTTATTTTTTACCTCTGTTATTGCCACCTTCATCAGCAACATAACCATAGTTGTCGCCATGGCTATCATCACTTTCATCACCATCAACATCAGCACCACCATTACCACCATCCTCATCACCATCACCACCACAGTGATCATAATCAGCATCATTACCACCAGCACCATCATAATATTATCATTACCAGGATAACCACCAACACAATCATCATCATGATCATCATTGTCATCATCTTCATTATTCTCATTGTGAACATCACAATCATCATTGGCAATCATCATCATCACCACAATCATCTCAAACATCACCACTATCACCACAATCATCACATCACCACCATCACATCATCATTCCTGTTATAACCAGCATCACCATTATCACCATCATCTTCATCACCATCTCCATAATCACCGTCACCATCACCAACATCATCAGCAGCATCACCATCTTTATAGTCATCTCCATCATATCATCATCATCTCCATCTCCACCATCATCATCACCACCACCCTTATCATCCTCATCATCACAAGAATATAAGCTCTCTGAAGGAAGACATTTTTATCTCTTTTGTATTCCCTGCCATAATCCATGGGCCTGGCACAGAGTAGGTGCTCAATAAAGTGTGTTGGTTGCATCAGCAACACTAGATTTGATCTGCTATGATTTTTCATCTTAATTTGCATGAAAATGACAGAGATGCAGACACTCACCATCGACTGGTATCACTGACTGACTGGTGCTCACCTGTGTGGCCAGGCAGGGAGGATGGAGTCCCAGAGGTTGCCAGGTGCACTGTGGAGGTCCCAGGAGCTGAGAAGAAGCTCTCATCAGTGAAAGCAGCAAGTCCCCTCATGGCAGAAATGTCAGCAGGTAAGACTACTATCGGCCCTGCTGCATTTGAGGTTTGAGCTGAGCCTCTTTATGGAGCTAGGGCACAGGGGAAAGGGAATAATTTGTGCCCTCCCAGCCTTTTCCCTCATGAAGAGGACATAAGGGGATAAGAGGTAAGGTCAGCTCCTGCCCTGCTTGGTGTAGGATTGGGGGGACTGGAACATCAGTAAAATACTCACTGCTGGTGGTTGGCACAGAGCTCCAAGGGTTGAAGCCTGCAGAGAGAAGGAGGGAGAGTGGGTAAGGGTTAAGGAGAGGTCGGACCAAATAGGGATCAGGGTTACCCTAGTGCAATGAGGAAAGTGTAATGATGCATGGTCATTGTGATTCTTCACCACCACCCTCACATGGGGGAAGAAGGCCTTGAGGGTGAAATCCGTGCAAGATGAAGATGAAACCATGAAGTTGAAACTTCAATCATCAGATATAGAGCACATCATCAAACCCTCAATGGTCAGAAAGGGCACGTGACCTCAGGACAAACAGTAGCATCTGCCCAGCTAGGAGGAAGAGCCTCCAATCACATCACGGCTGCTCACCATTGACATAGAGACTGTCCCTGTCCAGGGTGTAGGGGCCCAGCTCTGTAACGCTGTTGGTCAGCTGGCTCAGCTCCCAGTATAGCCGCTCTCTGTCCAGTCCAGGTCCGATGGGATCAACGCGGTGGGTACAGATGGTGTCCACTCCAGTGGCTGCCTCCTGCTTCTCAGGTCTGGGGAGGGTAAGAGTGGGGAATGGCAATGAATGGATTGCCTGGGGAGGGGTCCTGAAGCTTGCTGGGTAAGGGACAGGAAGGCACCAGAGGAATTGAGAAGCCTGGTACAGAAGTGAGAGAAACCACACTTTGATTCCCTGAGTGCTTCGACTCCCTGCCAGCCTGGGACTGTGAGCAGAGTCATGGATGCAAGGATTTTTATGAAATCACAAGGTGCAATCTACATTCTCACAGCAATGGGGAAAGAAGAGCTCAGTCCTGAGATAGGAGAAGAACAGGAATTAGGGGTGAAAGCAAGCAGATGAGGCATGTTTGTTTGGAGAGAAATTCTGGGAACAGAGTTTAACAACTGGAGGAAAGGGAGGTGGAGGGAATTTAGAGAGGTGATGAGGGTAAGGGCTCAATCCTGCTGATGGACTCCGAAGAATTTGTCAGTTGATGCGGGAGGTGGTAGAATCAGGAGACAAATTGGTTCTGGAGCCAGTGCCTCCTGAATTCTATCTGTGCTGCGGCCATCCTTTTGTAGGGCAAGAAGGAAGCTGAACAAATTCCTTGGGCCTGGGGACAACTGGGTAAGCCAAGCTGGAAATTCTAAGGTCTCACCTGAGCAAGGTCAGTCTGCAGCCAGAGTACAGAGGGCCAACACTGGTGTTCTTGAACAAGGGCGTGAGCTGTGGAGGAAGCATAGGAAGGTAAGTGGGTGAGCTGAGGTGTAGGGATGAGTCTGACATGAGGTAGGAGAGGCTGGCATCAGTAGGCGGGGCTTGCATCTCTGGGGCCAAGGAGTGGTGGGTGAGATCTTCCATGGCCCTGGCATGGGTGATATAAGCGGGACTGGTAAGGTGGTGGAGCTCTTACCAGACCCTGCAGAACCCTCTCCGTGGTGTTGAACTTCCTGGAACCAGGGTGTTGCATGTTTTCCTCATAATGCAGGTTGGTGATGGTAAAGTTGAAAGTGAATGGTATCAGGAGAGGGCCAGGCTCTGTAAAGCGGTTGGGAAATAAACACTATGTTCAAAAGTAGAGAAATATATAACAGTTTGCAATATATTTATTTTTTAGTTTTTATTTTTTGCAATGAAGTCTCACTCTGTAGCCCAGGCTGAAGTGAAGTGGCGTGATATCGGCACACTGCAACCTCTGCCTCCTGGGTTGAAGTGATTCTCCTGCCTCAGCCTCCTGAGTAGCTGGGTATACAGGTGCGTACCATCAGGCCTGGCTAATTTTTTTTTGTATTTTTAGTAGACATGGGGTTTCGCCATGTTAGCCAGGATGATCTTGATTTCCTGACCTTGTGATCTGCTTGCCTCGGCCTCCCAAAGTGCTGGGATTACAGGCGTGAGCTACCGCGCCCGGCCACGATAGACTTATTTTTTAACGTATTCTACAGCATTTAACGTGAATGAAAAATAAAAGATTTTCATGCCTCTCTTTACTACAATGATAGAAGTTTTTCATAAGGAAGCATATTACATAATTGTAATTCGATGGTAAACACAGCTCTTGGTGTGGATTCAGTGCTCAATAATGTCAGATGTTATTTTTTACCTCTGTTATTGCCACCTTCATCAGCAACATAACCATAGTTGTCGCCATGGCTATCATCACTTTCATCACCATCAACATCAGCACCACCTCTACCACCATCCTCATCACTATCACCACCACAGTGATCATAATCAGCATCATTACCACCAGCACCATCATAATATTATCATTACCAGGATAACCACCAACACAATCATCATCATCATCATCATCATCATCGTCATCATCTTCATTATGCTCATTGTAAACATCACAATCATCATTGGCAATCATCATCATCACCACAATCATCTCAAACATCACCACTATCACCACAATCATCACATCACCACCATCACATCATCATACCTGTTATAACCAGCACCACCATTATCACCATCATCTTCATCACCATCTCCATAATCATCACCATCACCAACATCATCAGCAGCATCACCATCTTTATAGTCATCTCCATCATATCATCATCATCTCCATCACCACAACCATCATCACCACCACCTTTATCATCCTCATCATCACAAGAATATAAGCTCTCTGAAGGAAGACATTTTTATCTCTTTTGTATTCCCTGCCATATTCCATGGGCCTGGCGCAGAGTGGGCGCTCAGTAAAGTGTGTTGGTTGCATCAGCAACACTAGATTTGATTTGCTATGATTTTCATCTTAATTTGCATGAAAATGACAGAGATGCAGACACTCACCATCGACTGGTATCATTGACTGGTGCTCACCTGTGTGGCCGGGGAAGGAGGATGGAGTCCCAGTGGTTGCCCAGTACACTGTGGAGGTCCCAGGAGCTGAGAAGAAGCTCTCATCAGTGAAAGCAGCAAGTCCCCTCATGGCAGAAATGCCAGCACGTAAGACTATTATGAAACTTGATGCATATGGGGCTTGACCTAGATCAGTTTGTAGCTGGGTCAGAAGGGAGTATGAATCACTTCTGCCTTCCCAGCTCCTTCTCTTAAGAAGAGGAGCTATGGATTTATAAGGAGGAGGGTCAGCTTCTGCTCTGCTTTGTGTAGAATCAGGGGCATGAGATTATCAGTTGAATACTCACTACTGGTGGTGGGCACAGAGTTCTGATGGGTGAAACCTGCACAGAAAGAGGGAGTAACCTGAGTAAGGTTAAGGTAGAGGTGGATAACAAAATAGGGGTCAGGGCTACCCTGGTGAAATGGAACCGGGGCTGCTGGATGTTTTCTATCAGGACCCTCACATCAGGGAAGAAAACCCTGAGGGTAGACCCAGTCTCCAACATAAAGAAGAAACCATGATGTTCTGACGTCAACTATCAAATATAGACAACATGGTCAAGCTTTCAATGGCCAGGCAGTGAGTGTGACCTCAAGCCAGGGAGTAGAGGTTGCCCATCAGAGAGGAAGAGCCTCCAACCACATCACAGCTGCTCACCATTGACATAGAGACTGTCCCTGTCCAGGCTGTAGGGGCCCAGCTCAGTGATGTTGTGGGTCAGCTGGCTTAGCTCCCAGTACAGCTGCTCTCTGTCCAGCCCAGGTCTTTTGGGATTAGGGTGGTAGAGGCAGACAGCATCCATTCCAGTTGCTGCCCCATCCTTCTCGGGCCTGGGGAAAGGAGGTTGGGGGAATGACAATGAAAAGATTACCTAGGACAGGTCTTGAGATTGCTGATGGAAGGACAGCAAAGGAGAAGAGAAAATGAGAAACGTGGGAAAGAGGTGAGAAGCCACACTTAGATTCTCTGAGTGCACAGACTACCAGCTTGCTTGGGACCGTGAGTAGAGTCATGGATACAACAATTCTCATAAAAGTGCAAGGGTGAAACTTGCATCTCATGGCATGAGAAAAAAGAGCCCAGACTTGAGACCAGTGAAGATCTTGAAATGGGGATGAAAGCACGTGGCTGAGGCATGATTGTCTTGAGAGAAATCCTGGGGACAGAATTTAACACCTAAAGGAAAGGGAGATGGAGGGAAAGGAGGGAATTCAGAGGAATGATCAGGGTAGGAGCTCAACCCTGATGATGGACCATGCAGATTCCGTTGAGGTGAGGTGTGGGGTTGTTACTATCAGGAAACACACTGGGTCCTGAAGCTAGTGACTCCTGAATTCCACCTTTGGTGAGGGTATCCCTAGGAAGTGTATAAAGGAAGATGTGCGAAGTCTATTGGGGTGAGAATAATTGGGGCAGCCAGGCTGGCTGTTCTAGCCTCACCTGAGAGAGGTCAGTCTGCAGCCAGAGTACAGAGGGCCAACACTGGAGTTCTTGAATATGGGACTAAGCTGTGGGGGAGGGAGAGAGAGGTAAGTATGAGGGCTAAGGTCCCTGTGTGGGGACAAAAGTGAGGTGGGTGGGGCAGACACCCATGAGAGTGGCTGGCCTCAGTGGGTGAGGCTTGCATCTCTGGGGATGAGGGCAAGGTTGGTGCGATATTCTTCCATTGCCCTGGCATGAATGTTGTATGAGGGGCTCGGCATCCAGGGCGGGGGAGAGTGAAGAGGGCAGGGTACTAACCAGACCCTGCAGGACCCTCTCTGTGGCGTTGAACTTCCTAGATCCAGGGCGATGCATGTCCTCCTCATACTGCAGGTTGGTGATGGTGAAGTTTAGGGTGAATGGCACCAGGAGAGGGCCAGCAGCTGTAGTGGGAGGGGGAAATAAACACTATGTTCAAAGTGGAGAAAATAAGAGTTTGCAACAGACTTATCTTTAAACATGTACAACATTTAAATTGAATGACTAAATAAATATTTACCATGCATCCCTTCCCTATGACAGAATTTATTTATTTATTTATTTATTGAGATGGAGTCTCGCTCCGTCACCAGGCTAGAGTGCAGTGGTGCCATCTCGGCTCACTGCAATCTCCACCTCACTGCAATCTCCACCTCCTGGATTCAAACGATTCTCCTGACTCAGCCTCCCAAGTAGCTGGGACAGGCATGTACCACCACGGCCGGCTAATTTTTGTATTTTTAGTAGAGATGGGGTTTCGCCATGTTGGCCAGGAGAGTCTTGATCTCTTGACCTCGTGATCTACCCACCTTGGCCTCCCAAAGTGCTGAGATTATAGACGTGAGCCACCACACCCGGCCCGACATAATTTATTTTTTAAAGGATGTTTTATAATAGTAGTTAGATGCTGAGCGTAGCTCTTGGTGTATATTCAGAGCATAATATTGTATGATGTTATCTGTTATCTTTTTTATTGCCATCATCATTGTTGCTATCATTGTCACCATCACCATTATTATTATTATCACCACCACCTTAATAATCCCAAGCATGACCACCACAAACATCATCATCACCACACTCAACACATCATCACAAACATCATAACTGTCACTGACATGCTGATGTCCATCCTCATCATGGTCAGCACCACCACCACCATTATCATCAATAGCATCACTATCATCATCGTCATCATAATCATCATAAACAGCACCACCACCATCATCATCATCCCACTCAACATATCATGATTAATATCATAACCACCACCACCACCACCACCACCATCATCATCATCATCATCACATAAACAGAAGCTCACTGAGGGCAGAGATGTTTTTACTGGTTTTATTTTCCTTGCTGTATCCCTAGGGTCTGGTACACTGTAGGTGGCCAATTAATTTTTTTGGTTCACTCACTATCACTAGACTTATTATGATTTTCTATCTTTATTTGAATGAAAATGGCACAGACGTTTACATCAGGCATGCTCTAACAGAGATGCCATTGACTGGTACTTACTTGTGGGGCTGGGGACGGGGGATGGAGTCCCTGAGGTTCCAAGGTCAACTGTGGAAGTCCAAGGAGCTGAGAAAAAGTCCTCATCAGTGAAAGCAGGAAGCACTCTCATGACAGAAATGGCAAGAGGGGAGACTATGGGGTCCGCTGCCTGTGTGGCTAGAGATGGGTCAGTCTTTGGAGCTGGGGCAGAGCAGAGCTTGAGTAACTGCTGCCCTCTTATCTCCTTTGCTGAAGAAGAGGACCTATGGGTTTATGAGGAGGAGTAGCTCCTGTTCCGCTTGGTGTAGAATCAGGGGCATGTGGACATGAGTTGAATACTCACTGCTGGTGGTGAGCCCAGAGCTCCGATGGGTGAAACCTGCATAGGGAAGGAGGCAGGAGAGTGCGTAAGGGTTAAGGAGACATTGGCAACCAAATAGGGGTCAAGGCTACCCTGGTGCAAAGGAATGAATTTCATGGTACGGGGCATTTGAAGATTTCCTATCAGCATCCTCATATCAGCAAAGAATGCCCTGAGGGAACACAATCTACGGTGATAAAGAAACTATGAAGTCCAGAACTTAGTCATCCCATGTAAAACAAGTGACAGAATTTTCAATTGCCAGGCAGGAAGTGTGACCTCTAGTTAGAGATTAGCTGCTGCTCAGCAAGGAGGAAGAGACTTCAACCACATCACAGCCACTCACCATTGACGTAGAGACTGTTCCGGTCCAGGGTGTAGGGGCCCAGCTCTTTGATGCCATTGGTCATCTGGCTCAGCTGCCAGTACAGCTGCTCCCTGTCCAGTCCAGGGCTTTGAGGGTTAAGGTGGTGGGTGCAGATGGCATCCACTCCAGTGGCTGCCCCATCCTTCTCAGACCTGGGGAAGGTAGGTGGGGAGAATGACAATGAAAAGATTACCTAGGATGGGTCTTGAGATTGCTGAGAGAAGGACGGCAAGGAACCAGAGGATATGAGAAACCTGGGAAAGAGGTGAGAAGCCACACTTAGATTCTCTGAGTGCGCAGACTACTGGCTTGTTAGAGACTGTGAGCAGAGTCATGAATACAACAGTTTTGATAAAAGTGCAAGGTGAGGCTGGGTATGGTGTCTCACGCCTGTAATCCCAGCACTTTGGGAGGCCGAGGCAGGTGGATCACCTGAGGTCAGGAGTTCAAGACCAGCCTGACCAACATGGAGAAACCCTGTCTCTACTAAAAATACAAAATTAGCCGGGTGTGGTGGCCCATGCCTGTAATCCCGGCTACTCGGGAGGCTGAGGCAGGAGAATCGCTTGAACCTGGGAGGCAGAGGTTGCAGTGAGCCGAGATTGTGCGATTGCACTCCAGCCTGGGCAACAAGAGTGAAACTCTGTCTCAAAAAAAAAAAAAAGTGCAAAGTGAATTCTGCATTCTCATGGCATGGGGACAGGAGAGCCCAGACTTGAGGCCAGTGAAGAGCTGGAAATGAGGATGAAAGCACGTGGCTGAGGCATGATTGTCTTGAGAGAAATCCTGGGGACAGAATTTAACACCTAAATGAAAGGGAGGGGCAGGGAAAGGAGGGAATTCAGAGTGATGACCAGGGTAGGGGCTCAATTCTGATGATGGACAATGCAGATTCTCTCTGTTGAGGTGGAGTGTGGGGGTGTTACTATCAGGAGACACACTGGTCCTGAAGCCAGTGACTGCTGAAACCCACCTTTGGTGAGGATATCTCTAGGAAGTGCAGCAAGGAAGCAGTGCAAAGCCTTTTGGAGTGAGAATAATTGGGACAGCTAGGCTGGCTATTCTAGCCTCACCTGAGAGAGATCAGTCTGCAGCCAGAGTACAGAGGGCCGACACTGGAGTTCTTGAACAAGGGACCAAGCTGTGGAAAAGGGACAGAGAGATGAGTAGGAGGGCTAAGGTCCCTGTGTGTGGGTGCAGAAATAAGGTGAGTGAGGCAGGGCCTAGTGGGTGAGGCTAGCTTCAGTGGGCGTGGCTGGCCTCAGTGGGTGAGTCTTGCATCTCTGGGGGCAAGGACGAAGTGGGTACATTCTTCTCCCATTACCCTGGCTTGGATGTTGTAGGAGGGACTGAGTATCTTGGTCAGGGCAGAGTGAGGAGGGCAGGGCACTAACCAGACCCTGCAGGACCCTCTCTGTGGTGTTGAACTTCCTGGAGCCAGGGTGACGCATGTCCTCCCCATACTGCAGATTGGTGATGGTAAAGTTGAGGGTGAACGGCACCAGGAGAGGAACAGCTGCTGTAGTGGGAGGGGGAAATAAACACTATGTTCAAAGGAGAGAAAATAGGAGTTTGCAATATAGTTATCTTTAAATATAGGCAGTATTTAATTGACTGACAAAATAAATATTTACCATGCATCCCTTGCCTTCAATGACAGAATTTATTTTTTAAAGGATATTATATAAAATAGTAGTTAGATGCTGAGCATAGCTCTTGGTTCATATTCAGTGCTCAATATTCTCTGATGTTACCTGTTATCTTTATTATTGCCATCATCATCATTGCTATCATTGTCACAATCACAATCTTTATTATCACCACCATCATAATAATCCCCACCATGACCACCACAAGCATCATCATCACCACACTCAACACATCACTATTATCATCATAACCCCATGACCATCTCTGGCATCATCCTCACCACCATCACCAGTTATTGTCATCAACATCACCAGTTTCATCATCATCATCATAAATAGCACCACCACCACCACCATCATCATCACTAACATCATAACCGTCACTGACATCATCTTCATATCCATCATCATCATGGTCGGCAACATCAACACCATTATCATCAACAGCATCACTATCATCATCATCATCATCATCATCAACAGCACCACCACCATCATCAACAGCATTACCATCATGATCATTACCATGATCATGATCATCATCATCATCAACAACTAGCACCACCACCACTATCATCATCACATGAATAAAAAAGCTCACTGAGGGCAGAGACATTTTTATTGGTTTTGTTTTCCTTGCTGTATCCCTTGGGTCTGGTACACAGTAGGTGGCCAACAAATATTTTTGGTTCACTCACTATTACCAGATTTACTATAATTTTACATCTTTATTTGAGTGAAAATGGCAGAGATGTTCACACTCATCAGGCATGCTGTAATAGAGATGTCATTGACTGGTACTTACTTGTGGGGCTGGGGAGGGAGGATGGAGTCCCTGAGGTCCCAAGGTCCACTGTGGAGGTCCCAGGAGCTGAGGAAAAGTCCTCATCAGTGAAAGCAGAAGCACTCTCATGGCAGAAATGGCCAAACAGGGGACTATTATGAGGTCTGCTGCATGTGGGCATGAGCTGGGCCTGTCTTTGGAGCTGGGGTGGAAGGGAGCTTCAATAACTTCAGCCTTCCCAGCTCCTTTGCTCATGAGGAGGACTTATGGGTTTATGAGGAGGGGCAGCTTCTGCTGTGCTTGGTGTAGGATCAGGGGCATGTGGACTTGAGTTGAATACTCACTGCTGGTGGGGGCCACAGAGCTCCGATGGGTGAAACCTGCATAGAGAAGGAGGGAGAAAATTGTGTAAGGATTAAGGAGATGTGGGGGATGCAATAGGGGTCATGGCTATCCTGGTGCCATGGGACAGGGACCATTAAAAGTTTCCTATCGGCATCCTCACAACAGAGAAGAATGCCCTGAGGGAATGCAGTTCACGATGACGAAGAAACCATGAAGTCCAGAACTTAGTCATCCCATGTAGAGCACATAACAGAATTTTCAATGGCCAGGCAGAGAGTATGCCCCCAAGCCAGAGATTAGAGTCTGCTCAGCAGGGAGGAAGAGACTCCAACCACATCACATCTGTTCACCATTGACATAGAGACTGTTCCTGTCCAGGGTGTAGGGGCCCAGCTCTTTGATGCCATGGGTCAGCTGGCTCAGCTCCCAGTACAGCTGCTCTCTGTTGAGTCCAGGGCTTTTGGGGTCAAGACGGTGGCTGCAGATGGCATCCATTCCAGTGGCTGCCCCATTCTTCTCAGGCCTGGGGAAGGAAGGTGGGAGGAATGCAATCAAAAGATTAACTAGGAAGGGTTTTGAGATTGCTGAGGGAAGGACTGCAAGGAACCAGAGGAAATGAGAAGTCTGGGAAAGAGGTGAGAAATCACACTTAGATTCTCTGAATGCACCGACTACTGGCTTGCTTTGAACTGCAAGCAGGGTAATGAATACAAGAATTTTTATGAAAGTGCAAAGTGGCTTGGCACAGTGCCTCATGTCTGTAATCCCAGCACTTTGGGAGGCCAAGGCGGGCAGATCACTTGAGGTCAGGAGTTCAAGACTAGCCTGGTCAACATGGTGAAACCCAGTCTCTACAAAAAATACAAAAATTTGCTGAGTATAGTGGTGGGTGCCTGTAATCCCAGCTACTTGGGAGGCTGAGGCAGGAGAATCACTTGAACATGGAAGGCGGAGGTTGCACTGAGCTGAGACCAGCCTGGTGTGCAGTAAGACTATGTTTCAACAATGAAATAATAAAATAAAATAAAATAAAATAAAATAAAATAAAATAAAATAAAATAAAATAAAATAAAATAAAATAAAAAAGTGCAAGTTAAAACCTGCATTCTCATGGCATGGGGACAGAGACACCAGACGTGAGACCAATGAAGAGCTGGAAATGGGCATGAAAGCCTGTGGATGAGGCACGATCATCTTGAGAGAAATCCTGGGGACAGAATTTAAGACCTAAAGGAAAGGGAGGTGCAGGGACAGGAGGGAATTCAGAGGGATGATCAGGGTAGAGGCTCAATCCTGATGATGGGCCATTCAGATTCTCCCTGTTGAGGTGGGGTTTGGGGGTGTTACTATCAGAAAACACATTGGTCATGAAGCCAGTGACTCCTGAATTCCACCTTTGGTGAGGATATCCCTAGGAAGTGCAGCAAGGAAGCAGTGCAAAGTCGATTGGAGTGAGAACAAGTGGGGCAGCCAAGCTTGATCTTCTAAGGTCTCACCTGAGCAAGGTCAGTCTGCAGCCAGAGTACAGAAGGCCGACACTGGTGTTCTTGAACATGGGACCAAGCTGTGGAGGAGGGAGAAGGAGATGAGTAGGAGGGCTAAGTTGCGTGTGTGGGTGTGTAGGGCAGAAGTCAGGTGGGCAGAACAGGCATCAGTGAGTGGGGCTGGTTTCAATGGGCATGGCTTGCATCTCTTGGGGCAAGGGTGAGGTGGGTATGATCTTGTTCCATCACCTGGCATGGATGATGTAGGAGGTACTGACTCTCTGGGGTGGGGCGGAGTGAGGAGGGTGGAGCACTAACCAGACCCTGCAGGACCCGCTCCGTGGTGTTGAACTTCCTGGAGCCTGGGTGATGCATGTCCTCCTCGTACTGCAGGTTGGTGATGGTGAAGTTGAGGGTGAATGGCACCAGGAGAGGGCCAGCAGCTGTAGTGGAGGTGGGAAACAAACACTATGTCCAAAGTAGAGAAAATAGGAGTTTGCAATAGACTTATCTTTAAACATATGCAGAATTTAAATTGAGTGACAAAATATTTACCATGCTTCCCTTGCCTAAAACAATACAATTTATTTTTACAAAAATATATTATATAATAGTATTTAGATGCTGAGCACTCCTCGTGGTGCATATTCAGAGCTCAATATTGTCTGATGTTATGTACTATCTTTATTGCCATCATCATCCTTGCTATCATTGTCACCATCACCATCATTATTATGACCATCACTGCCATAGTAATGCCCATCACGACCACCACGAACATTATCATCACCACATTCAACACATCATCATCATCATAACCCCACACCATCACTGGCATTATCCTCATCACCATCATTGTCATTGTCATCAACATAACCACGACCAACATCAATATCATCGGTACCACGGTCAGCATCCTAAACAGCATCACCACAGTCATCATCATCATCACACTTAACACATCATCATTATCATCATAATCTTCACGACCATCACGGACAATATCCTCAAGTCCATCACCATCATCATCAGTAATATCACCACCGCCATCATCAACAGCATCACCATCATCAACAGCATCACCATCATCAACAGCATCACCATCATCAACAGCATCCCACTCAACATGTCATTATTACTATCATAACCACCATCACTATCATCGTCACATGAACACAAGCTCACTGAGGGCAGAGATGTTTTTATTGGTTTTATTTTCCTTGCTGTATCCCTAGGGTCTGGTACAATGTAGGTGGCCAATACATTTTTTTGGTTCACTCAGTATCACTAGATTTACTATGATTTTCCATCTTCATTTGAGTGAAAACGGCACAGATGTTCATATTCATCAGGCATGATCTAATAGACATGTCATTGACTGGTACTTACATGTAGGGCTGGGGAGGGAGGATGGAGTCCCTGAGGTCCCAAGGTCCACTGTGGAGGTCCCAGGAGCTGAAAAGAGTCCTCATCAGTGAAAGCAGAAAGCACTCTCATGGCAGAAATGGAAAGAGGGTAGACTATTATAAGGTCTGCTGCATGTGGGCTTGAGCTAGGACTGTCTTTGGAGTAGGGGCAGAGGGGAGCTTGAGTAACTTCTGCCTTCCTAGCTCCTTTGCTCAAGAGGAGTTCTTATGGGCTTAAGAGGAGGGGCCAGCTCCTGCTCCACTTAATATAGGATCAGGGGCATGTGGACATGAGTTGAATACTCACTGCTGGTGTTGGGCGCAGAGGTCTGATGGGTGAAACCTGCGTAGAGAAGGAGGGAGGAGACTGGGTAAGGGTTAAGGAGATGTGGGAGATGCAATAGGGTTCAGGGCTACCCTGGTGCAATTAAATGAGTTTCATGGGATGGGGCCATTAAGATTTCCTATCAGCATTCTCCCAAAAGGGAAGAGTGCCCCAAGGGAATGCAGTTCATGATGATGAAGAAACCATGAAGTCCAGAACTTAGTCACCCCATGTAGAGCACATGACAAAATTTTCAATGGCCAGGCAGGGAGTGTGCCCCCAAGCCAGAGATTAGAGGCTGCCCAGCAAGGAGGAAGAGATTCCTACCATATTGCAGCTCCTCACCATTGACATAGAGACTGTTTCTGTCCAGGGTGTAGGGACCCAGCTCTTTGATGCCATTGGTCAGCTGGCTCAGCTCCCAGTATAGCTGCTCCCTGTCCACTCCAGGGCTTTTGGGGTCAAGACGGTGGGTGCAGATGGCATCCACTCCAGTGGCTGCTCCATCCTTCTCGGACCTGAGGAAGGTAGGAGGGGGAATGACAATGAAAAGATTGCCTAGGACTTGTCTTGAGATTGCTGAGGGAAACATATCAAGGAACCAGAGGAAATGAGAAATCTGGGAAAGAGGTGAGAATCTGCACTTAGATTATCTGAGTACATAGACCACTATCTTGGTTGGGACTGCAAGCAGAGTCATGGATATAATAATTTTTATAAAAGTGCAAGGTGAAACCTGCATTCTCATGGCATGGGGACAGGAGAACCCAGACTTCAGACTAGTGAAGAGCTTGAAAGGGGGATGGATGTATGTGGATGAGGTATGATTGTCTTAAGAGCAGTCCTGGGGACAGAATTTAACACTAAATGAAAGGGAGGGGCAGGCAAAGGAGGGAATACAGAGGAGTGATCAGGGTAGTGCCTCAATCCTGATGATGGATCACGAAAATTCTGCCTGTTGAGGTGGGGAATGGTGGTGTTACTATCAGGAAACAACTGGTTCTCAAGCCAGTGACTCCTGAATTCCCTTTTTGGTGATGATATCCCTAGGAAGTGCAGCAAGGAGACAGTGCAAAGTCTTTTAAAGTGAGAACAATTGTGGCAGCCAAGCTGGCTCTTCTAAAGTCTCACCTGAGCAAGGTCAGTCTGCAGCCAGAGTACAGAGGGCCAACACTGGTGTTCTTGAACATGGGACCAAGCTGTGGAGGAGGGAGAGAGAGGTGAGTAGGAGGGCTAAGGAGTGTGTGTGTTAGGGGCAGATGTGAGGTGGGAGGAGTAGGCACCAATGAGCAGGGCTGGTCTCTGTGGGCGGGACTTCCATCTCTCAGGGGCAGGGGTGAGGTTGGTGCTATCTTCTTTCATCACCTTGGCATCTATGATGTAGAAGGGACTGGATATCTGGGGCTGGCAGAGTGAGGAGGGAAGGGCACTAACCAGACTCTGCAGGACTCTCTCTGTGGTGTTGAACTTCCTGGAGCCAGGGCAATGCATGTCCTCCTCGTACTTCAGGTTGGTGATGGTGAAGTTGAGGGTGAACGGCACCAGGAGAGGGCCAGCAGCTGTAGTGGGAATTGAAAATAAACACTATGTTCAAAGTAGAGAAAATAGGGGTTTGGAATAGACTTATCTTTAAACATATACAAAATTTAAATTGAGAGAAAAATATTTATGTCTCCCTTGCCTATAATAATACAATTTATTTTTATAAAAATATATTATATAATAGTAGTTAGATGCTGAGCATAGCTAGTTGTGCATATTCAGTGCTCAATATTGTCTGATGTTATCTGTTATCTTTATTATGGCCATAATCATTGTTGCTATCATTGTCACCATCACCATCATTATTATCATCATCACCATGATAATCCCCATCATGATCACCACAAACATAATCATCACCACACTCAACACATCATCATTATCATAATAACCACATGACCATCACTGGCATCATCCTCATCACCATTATTGTTATTGTCATCAACGTCACCACTACCATCATCAACACCATCAGTACCATGGTCACCATCATCAACAGCACCACCACCATCATCATCATCATCACACTCAACACATCATTACCATCATAACCTTCACAACCATCACTGACAACATCCTCATGTCCGTCATCATCATTGTCAGTAACATCACCACCACCATCATCAACAGCAACACCATAATCATAAATTATCATCAAACTGAATATGTCATTATTACTATTACCACCACCACCACCATCATATCATCACATGAACACAAGCTCACTGAGGGCAGAGATGTTTTTATTGGTTCTATTTTCCTTGCTATATCCCTAGGGTCTGGTACACTGTAGGTGGCCAATACATTTTTTTTGGTTCACTCAGTATCACTAGATTTATTATGATTTTCCATTTTCATTTGACTGAAAATGGCACAGATGTTTGCATTCATCAGGCATGATCTAATACAGATACCATTGGCTGGTACTTACTTGTGGGGCTGGGGAGGGAGGATGGAGTCCCTGACCCAAGGTCCACTGTGGAGGTCCCAGGAGCTGAAAAAAGTCCTCATCAGTGAAAGCAGAAAGCACTCTCATGGCAGAAATGGCAAGAAGATAGACTATTATGAGGTCTGCTGCATGTGGGCTTGAGCTGGGTCTGTCTTTGGAGCTGGGGCAGAGGGGAGCTTGAGTAACTTCTGCCTTCCCAGCTCATTTGCTCAAGAGGAGGACTTATGGGTTAAAGAGGAGGGGCCAGCTCTTGCTCCACTTGATGTAGGATCAGGGGCATCTGGACATGAGTTGAATACTCACTGCTGCTGGTGGGCACAGGGATCCAATGGGTGAAACCTGCATAGAGAAGGAGGGAGGAGACTGGGTAAGGGTTAAGGAGATGTGGGGGACGCGATAGAGTTCAGGACTACCCTGGTGCAATTAAATGAGTTTCATGGGACAGGGGTCATTAAAGATTTCCTATCAGCATCCTCACAACAGGGAAGAGTGCCCAGAGGGAATGCCTCTCATGATAACAAAGAAACCATGAAGTCCAGAACTTAGTCATCCCATGTAGAGCACGTGACAGAATTTTCAATGGCCAGGCAGGGAGTGTGCCCCCAAGCCAGAGATTAGAGGTTGCACAGCCAGGAGGAAGAGACCCCTACCATATCACAGCTGCTCACCATTGACATAGAGACTGTTCCTGTCCAGGGTGTAGGGGCCCAGCTCTTTGATGCCATTGGTCAGCTGGCTCAGCTCCCAGTATAGCTGCTCCCTGTCCACTCCAGGGCTTTTGGGGTCAAGACGGTGGGTGCAGATGGCATCCACTCCAGTGGCTGCTCCATCCTTCTCGGACCTGAGGAAGGTAGGAGGGGGAATGACAATGAAAAGATTGCCTAGGACTTGTCTTGAGATTGCTGAGGGAAACATATCAAGGAACCAGAGGAAATGAGAAATCTGGGAAAGAGGTGAGAATCTGCACTTAGATTATCTGAGTACATAGACCACTATCTTGGTTGGGACTGCAAGCAGAGTCATGGATATAATAATTTTTATAAAAGTGCAAGGTGAAACCTGCATTCTCATGGCATGGGAACAGGAGAACCCAGACTTCAGACTAGTGATGAGCTTGAAAGGCGGATGCATGTATGTGGATGAGGCATGGTTATCTTGAGAGAAATCCTGGGGACAGAATTTAACACCTAAATGAAAGGGAGGGGCAGGGAAAGGAGGGAATTCAGATGGGTAATCAGGGTAGTGTCTCAATCCTGATGATGAACCATGAAGATTTTGCATGTTGAGTTGGGGCATGGGGGTGTTACTATCAGGAAACAACTGGTTCTCAAGCCAATGACTCCTGAATTCCCCTTTTGGTGAAGATATACCTAGGAAGTGCAGCAAGGAAGCAGTGCAAAGTCTTTTAGAGTGGGAACAAGTTGGGCACCCAGGCTGGCTCTTCTAAAGTCTCACCTGAGCAAGGTCAGTCTGCAGCCAGAGTACAGAAGGCCAACACTGGTGTTCTTGAACATAGGAC
This sequence comes from Homo sapiens, assembly GCF_000001405.40. Lineage (NCBI taxonomy): Eukaryota > Metazoa > Chordata > Mammalia > Primates > Hominidae > Homo > Homo sapiens. The sequence goes on from NW_025791807.1 coordinate 157,289, forward strand.
CAAGCTGTAGAGGAGGGAGAGGGAGGTGAGTAGTGGGGCTAAGGTGTGTGTGTGTCGGGGCAGATGTGAGGTGGGTGGAGCAGGCACCAATAAGCAGGACTGGTCTCTGTGGGTGGGGCTTGCATCTCTTGGGGGGAAGGGGGGAAGTTGTTGCTATCTTCTTTCATCACCCTGGCATGGATGATGTAGAAGGGACTGGATATCTGGGGCTGGGCAGAGTGAGGAGGGAAGGGCACTAACCAGAGTCTGCAGGACCCTCTCAGTGGTGTTGAACTTCCTGGAGCCAGGGCGATGCATGTCCTCCTCATACTTCAGGTTGGTGATGGTGAAGTTGAGGGTGAACAGCACCAGGAGAGGGCCAGCAGCTGTAGTGGGAATTGAAAATAAACACTATGTTCAAAGTCAAGAAATAGGGGTTTAGAATAGACTTATCTTTAAACATGTGCAAAATTTAAATTGAGAAACAAAATATTTACCATGTCTCCCTTGCCTATAATAATACAATTTATTTTTATGAAAGTATGTTATATAATAGTAGTTAGATGCTGAGCATAGCTAATCATGCATATTCAGTGCTCAATATTGTCTGATGTTATCTGTTATATTTATGATGACTGGCCATCATGATTGTTGCTATCACTTTCACCATCATAAACAGCAACATCATCATCATCATCACACTCCACACACCATCATTACCATCATAACCTTCACAGCCATCACTGACAACATCCTTATGTCCATCATCATCATTGCCAGTAACATCACCACCATCATCATCAACAGCATCACCATCATCATCAATCATCATCACACTCAACATGTCATTATTACTATCATAACCACCACCACCATCATCACATGAACACAAGCTCACTGAGGGCAGAGGTGCTTTTATTAGTTTTCTTTTCCTTGTATCTCTAAGGTCTGGTACACTGTAAGTGGCCAATAAATTTTTTTGGTTCACTCAGTATCACTAGATTTACTATGATTTTCTATTTTCATTTGAGTGAAAATGGCACAGATGTTCACACTCATCAGGCATAATCTAAGGGAGATGCCATTGACTAGTACTTACTTGCGGGGCTTGGGAGGGAGAATGGAGTCCCTGAGGTTCCAAGGTCCACTGTGGAGGTCCCAGGAGCTGAGAAAAAGTGCTCATCAGTGAAAGCAGAAAATAATCTCATGGCAGAAATGGCAAGAAGGTAGACTATTATGAGGTCTGCTGCATATGGGCATGAGCTGGGCCTGTCTTTGGAGCTAGGGTGGAAGGGAGCTTCAATAACTTCTGCCTTCCCAGCTCCTTTGCTCAAGAGGAGGACTTATGGGTTTAAGAGGAGGGGCCAGCTCCTGCTCCACTTAATGTAGGATCAGGGGCATGTGGACATGAGTTGAATACTCACTGCTGCTGGTGGGCACAGAGGTCCGATGGGTGAAACCTGCATAGAGAAGGAGGGAGGAGACTTGGTAAGCGTTAAGGAGATATGAGGGACACAATAAGGGTCATGGCAATCCCAATGCAATTAAATGAGTTTCATGGGACAATGAGTTTCATGGGACTGGGGCCATTAAAGAATTCCTATCAGTATCCTCACAACAGGGAAGAGTGCCCTGAGGGAACACAGTTCACGACAATGAAGAAACTGTGAAGTCCAGAACTTTGTCATCCCATCTACACCACATGACAGAATATTCAATGGCCAGGCAGGGAGTGTGACTTCAAGCCACAGATTAGATTCTTTCCAGACTCTAGAAGGAAAAGACTCCAACCACATCACAGCTGCTCACCATTGACATAGAGACTGTTCCTGTCCAGGGTGTAGGGGCCCAGCTCTTTGATGCCATTGGTCAGTTGGCTCAGCTCCCAGTACAGCCGCTCTCTGTTGAGTCCAGGGCTTTTGGGGTCAAGATGATGGATGCAGATGGCATCCACTCCAGTGGCTGCTCCATCCTTCTCAGACCTGGGGAAGGTAGGTGGGGAGAATGACTATGAAAAGATTACTTAGGTTGTGTCCTGAGACTGCTGATGGAAAGACAGTAAAGAACCAGAGGAAATGAGAAACCTGGGAAAGAGGTGAGAAGCTACACTTAGATTCTCTGAGTGCATGGACTACTGGCTTGCTTGGGACTGTGCACAGAGTCACAGATACAACCATGCTTATAAAAGTGCAAGGTGAAACCTGCATTCTCATAGCATGGGGACAGGAGAGCCCAGACTTGAGACCAGTGAAGAGCTAGAAACAGGGATGAAAGCACTTGGATGAGGCATGATTGTCTTGAGAGAAATTCTGGGGACAGAATTTAACACCTAAATGAAAGGGAGGGGCAGGGAATTCCGAGGGATGATCAGGATAGAGGCTCAATCCTGATGATGGACCATGCAGATTCTCCCTGTTGAGGTGAGGTGTGGGAGTGTTACTATCAGGAAACACATTGGTCCAGAAGCCAGTGACTCCTGAATTCCCCTTTGGGTGAGGATATCCCTAGGAGGTGCAGCAAGGAAGCAGAGCAAAATCTACTGGAGTGGGAACAACTGGGGCAGCCAGGCTGGATCTTCTAAGGTCTCACCTGAGAGAGGTCAGTCTGCAGCCAGAGTACAGAGGGCCAACACTGGTGTTCTTGAATATGGGACCAAGCTGTGGAGGAGCGAGAGGAAAGTGAGTAGGAGGGCTAAGGTGCATGTGTGTGGGGCAGAAGTCAGGTGGGTGGAGCAGGCACCAGTGGGCATGGCTGGCCTCAGTGAGCAGGGCTTGCATCTTTTGTGGGCAAGGGTGAGATGGATACAATCTTCTTCCATAGCCCTGGCATAGATGATGTATCTGGGATGGGGCAGGAGTAAAGTGGGTGGGGCTCTCACCAGACCCTGCAGGACCCTCTCTGTGGTGTTGAACTTCCTGGAGCCAGGGTGACCCATGTCCTCCCCATACTGCAGGTTGGTGATGGTGAAGTTGAGGGTGAATGGTACCAGGAGAGGGCCAGCAGCCATAACTGGAATGGGAAATAAACACTATGTTCAAAGCAGAGAAAATAGGAGTTTGCAATAGACTTATCTTTCAATATATGCAGAATTTAAATTGAGTGACAAAATATTTTCCATGCCTCCCTTGCCTATAATAATATAATTTATTTTTGTAAAAGTATATTATATAATAGTAGATGCTGAGCATAGCTGTTGGTGAATATTTATTGCTCAATACTGTCTGACATTTTCTGTTAACTTTATTATCATCATCATCACCATCACCATCATTGTCACGTCACCATCATTATTATCATCATCACCACCATGATAATCCCCATCATGACCACCACAAACATCATCACTCTCAACACATCATCATTACCATCATAACCCCACCACCATCACTTGAATCATCCTTATCACCATCATCATCATTGTCATCGACATCACCACCACCATCAACATCAACATCAACACTATCATTATCATGATCATTATAAACAGCAACACTACCACCATCATCATCACCATCACACTCAATACGACATCATTACCATCACAACCTCCACCACCATCACCTGCATCATCCTCATCACCATCATCATTGTCATCATCACCACCACCATCATCAAGATCACCACTATCATCATTATAAACAGCAACACTATCACTATTATCATCACACTCAATACATCATAATTACCATCATAACCTCCTCTAACATCACCAGCATCATCCTCATCACCATCACCATCATCATCAACATCACTACTGCCATCATCAACAGTATGACCATCATCATCATCATCATCATAAACAATGTCACCACCACCATCATCATCATCCCACTCAACACATCATCATTACCATTGTAACTACCACCACCATCATCATCATCACAAGAATACAAGCTCACTGAGGGCACAGATTTTTTTTAAATTGATTTTCTTTTTCTTACTGTATTCCTGGGGTCTGGTACACAGTAGGTGGCCAAAACAAATTTGTCACAAGCATTCTTATACACCAATAATAGACAAACACAGAGCCAAATCATAAGTGAACTCCCATTCATAATTGCTTCAAAGAGAATAAAATACCTAGGAATGCAACTTACAAGGGACGTGAAGGACCTCTTCAAGGAGAACTACAAACCACTGCTCAATGAAATAAAAGAGGATACAAACAAATGGAAAAACATTCCATGCTCATGGGTAGGAAGAATCAATATCGGGAAAATGGCCATACTGCCCAGGGTAATTTATAGATTCAATGCCATCCCCATCAAGATACCGATGACTTTCTTCACAAAATTGGAAAAAACTACTTTAAAGTTCACATGGAACCAAAAAAGAGCCCGCATCGCCAAGTCAATCCTAAGCCAAAAGAACAAAGCTGGAGGCATCATGCTACCTGACTTCAAACTATACTACAAGGCTACAGCAACCAAAACAGCATGGTACTGGTACCAAAACAGAGATATAGATCAATGGAACAGAACAGAGCCCTCAGAAATAACGCCACATATCTACAACTATCTGATCTTTGACAAATCTGAGCAATGGGGAAAGGATTCCCTATTTAATAAATGGTGCTGGGAAAACTGGCTAGCCATATGTAGAAAGCTGAAACTGGATCCCTTCCTTACACCTTATACAAAAATTAATTCAAGATGGATTAAAGACTTAAACGTTAGACCTAAAACCATAAAAACCCTAGAAGAAAACCTAGGCATTACCATTTAGGACATAGGCATGAGCAAGGACTTCATGTCTAAAACACCAAAAACAATGGCAACAAAAGCCAAAATTGACAAATGGGATCTAATTAAACTAAAGAGCTTCTGCACAGCAAAAGAAACTACCATTGGAGTGAACAGGCAACCTATAAAATGGGAGAAAATTTTCACAACCTACTCATCTGACAAAGGGCTAATATCCAGAATCTACAATGAACTCAAACACATTTACAAGGAAAAAGCAAACAACCCCAACAAAAAGTGGGAGAAGGACATGAACAGACACTTCTCAAAAGAAGACATTTATGCAGCCAAAAAACACATGAAAAAATGCTCACCATCACTGGCTATCAGAGAAATGCAAATCAAAACCACAATGAGATACCATCTCACACCAGTTAGAATGGCAATCATTAAAAAGTCAGGAAACAACAGGTGCTGGAGAGGATGTGGAGAAATAGGAACACTTTTACACTGTTGGTGGGACTGTAAACTAGTTCAACCATTGTGGAAGTCAGTGTGGCGATTCCTCAGGGATCTAGAACTAGAAATACCATTTGACCCAGCCATCCCATTACTGGGTATATACCCAAAGGATTATAAATCATGCCGCTATAAAGACACATGCACACGTATGTTTATTGTGGCACTATTCACAATAGCAAAGACTTGGAACCAACCCAAATGTCCAACAATGATAGACTGGATTAAGAAAATGTGGCACATACACACCATGGAATACTATGCAGCCATAAAAAATGATGAGTTCATGTCTCTGTAGGGACATGGATGAAATTGGAAATCATCATTCTCAGTAAACTATCGCAAGGACAAAAAACCAAATACCGCATGTTCTCACTCATAGGTGGGAATTGAACAATGAGAACATGTGGACACAGGAAGGGGAACATCACACTCTGGGGACTGTTGCAGGGTGGGGGGAGGGGGGAGGGATAGCATTAGGACATATACTTAATGCTAAATGACGAGCAAATGGGTGCAGCACACCAGCATGGCACATGTATACATGTGTAACTAAACTGCACATTGTGCACATGTACCCTAAAACTTAAAGTATAATAAAAAAAGTGAAAAGGATGAGAAAAAACAAACAAACAAATTTGTCCACTCAGTATCACTAGATTTACTATGATTTTCCATCTTTATTTGAGTGAAAATGACAGAGATGTTTACACTAATCAGGTATGCTCTCATAGAGATGTCATTGACTGATACTTACTTGTGGGGCTGGAGAGGGAGGATGGAGTCCCTGAGGTTCTGAGATCCACTGTGGAGGTCCCAGGAGCTGAGGAAAAGTTCTCATCAGTGAAAGCATAAAGCACTCTCTTGGCAGAAATGGCAAGAGGGGAGACTATTTATGGGGTTTGTTGCATGTGTAGCTTGAGCTGGGTCGGTCTCTTGAGCTGGGCAGAGGGACACTTAAATAACTTCTGCCCTCCTAAATCCTTTGCTTATGAAGAGGACTTAATGGGTTTATGAGGAGGGGCCAGCTCCTGCTCCTCTTGGTGTAGGAACCGAGGCATGTGGATATGAGTTGAATACTCACTGCTGGTGGTGGACACAGAGCTCTGATGGGTGAAACCTGCATAGAGAAGGAGGGAGGAGAGTGGGTAAGAGACAAGGAGAGGTGGGGGACCAAATGGAGGTCAATGCTACCCTGGTGCAATGAACCGAGTTTCATGGTACAGGGACAATTGAAGATTTTCTATCAGCATCCTCACATCAGGAAAGAATGCCCTGAGGGAACACAGTCCATGATGGTAAGGAAACCATGAAGTCCAGACCTTAGTCATCCCATGTAGAGCACATGACAGAATTTTCAAAGGCCAGGCAGGGAGTGTGATCTCTAGTTAGAGATTAGAGGCTGCCCAGCAAGGGGGAAGAGATTTCAACCACATCACAGCCACTCACCATTGACATAGAGACTGTTCCTGTCCAGGGTGTAGGGGCCCAGCTCTTCAATGTCATTGGTCAGTTTGCTTAGCTCCCAGTACAGCTGCTCCCTGTTGAGTCCAGGGCTTTTGGGGTCAAGGCGGTGGGTGCAGATGGCATCCACTCCAGTGGCTGCCCCATCTTTCTCGGGCCTGGGGAGGGTCAGTGGGAAAAATCACAATGAAAAGTTTATCTAGGAAGGGTCTTGCGATTGCTGAGGGAAGGACAGCAAGGACCAGAGAAATGAGAAACCTGGGAAAGAGGTGAGAAGCCACATCGACTCTTAGTGCATGGACTATTGGCTTGCTGAGGACTGTGAGTGGAGTCACGGATACAGTGACAAGATGAAACTGACACTTTCATGGACGGGACGGGGAGCCGGACTTGAGCCCAGTGAAGAGCTCGAAATGAGGATGAAATCACGTGGATAAGGCATGATTGTCCTGAAAGAAATCCTGGGGACAGAATTTAACATGTAAAGGAAAGGGAGGCACAGGGAATGGAGGGAATTCAGAGGGATGATAAAGGGAGAGGCTCAATCCTGATGATGGGCCATGCAGATTCTCTCTGTTGAGGTGGAGTGTAGGGGTGTTACTGTCAGGAAACACACTGATCCTGAAGCCTGTGACTCCTGAATTCCACCTTTGGTGAGGATATCCCTAGGAAGTGCAGCAAGGAAGCAGTGCAAAGTCTTTTGGAGTGAGTACAAGTGGGGCAGCCAGGCTGGAAATTCTAAGTTCTCACCTGAGCAAGGTCAATCTGCAGCCAGAGTACAGAGGGCCAACACTGGTGTTCTTGAACAAGGGCTTGAGCTGTGGAGGAGGGAGAGGGCAGTGAGTAGGAGGGCTAAGTTTTATGTAAGAGCCAGGCAGAAGTGAGGTGGGCAGGGCTGGCCTTGGTGGGGGAGGCTTGCATCTCTCTCTTTTTTTCTTTTTTTTGTGAGATGGAGTTTCGCTTTTTTGCCTAGGCTGGAGTAAAGTGGCATGATCTTGACTCACTGCAACCTCTGCCTCCTTGATTCAAGTGATTCTCTTGCCTCACCCTCCCAAGTAGCTGGGATTACAGGCATGCACCACCATGCTTGGCTAATTTTTGTATTTTAGTAGGGATGAGGTTTCACTATGTTGGCCAGGCTGGTCACAAACTCCTGACCTCAGGTGATCCACCCGCCTTGGCCTCCCAAATGCTGGTATTACAGGCGTGAGCCACCGCTCCTGGCTGAGGCTTGCATCTCTTGGGGCAAAAGTGAGTTGGGTTTGATATTCTTCCATTGCCCTGGCATGGATGATGTAAGAGGGACTGGGTATCATGAGCAGGGCAGAGTGTGGAGGGCAGGACACTAACCAGACCCTGCAGGACACTCTCCATGGTGTTGAACTTCCTGGAGCCAGTGCGACGCATGTCCTCCTCGTACTGCAGGTTGGTGATGGTGAAGTTGAGGGTGAACGGCATCAGGAGAGGGCCAGCAGCTATAGTGGGAGTGTGAAATAAACATTATGTTCAAAGTAGAGAGAATAGCACTTTGTAATAACCATATGCAGCAATTAAATTGAGTGACATAATAAATATTTTCCACGCCTTTCTTATCTATGATACAATTCATTTTCTAAAGTAGATTATATAATAGTAGTTAGATACTGAGCATAGCTCTTGGTACATATTTAGTGCTCAATATTGTAAGGTGATATCTGTTATCTTTATTATCACCATCACCATCATCACTATCATTGTCATCATTATTATCATTATTGTCATCACAAGTACCACCAGCACCACCATGACAATCCCCATCATGAACCACAAATATCATCATCACCATCATCACATTCAACATATCATTACCATCATAACCCCACCACCATCACCGACATCATCCTCATCACCATCATTGTCACTGTCGTTGATATCACCATTACCATCATCAATGTCACTAGCATAATAATCATCATCATCATCAACACCACCACCATCATCGTCACACTCAACATATCATTATTACCATAATAACCCCCACCACCATCACCAGCATCATTTTCTTCAACATCATCATCATCATCATTGTCATCAACATCACTATCACCATCAACAGTATCACCAGCATCATCATCATCATCATCATCATCATCGTCATCAACAGCACCACCACCAACATCATCATCATGACAAGAATACAAGCTCACTGAGAGCAGAAATTTTGTATTGGTTTTGTTTTCCCTCCTGTATCTCTAGGATCTGGTACACACTAGGTGGCCAACAAATTTCGTTGGTCCACTCACTATCAGTAGATTTGCTATGATTTTCCATCTTCATCTGAGTAAAAATGACAGAGATAGCATGCTCTAATAGAGATGCCATTGACTGGTACTTACTCGTGGGGCTGGGGCTGGAGGATGGAGTCCCTGAGGTTCCCACATCCACTGTGGAGGTCCCAGGAGCTGAGGAGAAGTCCTCATTAGTGAGAGCAGAAAGCATTACCATGGCAGAAATGCCAAGAGGTGAGACTTTTATAGGGTTTGCTGCATGTGGGCTTGAGCTGAGTCTGTCTTTGAAACTGGGGCAGAGGGGAGCTTGAATAACTTCTGCCTTCCCAGCTACTTTGCTCAAGAGGAGGACTTATGGGTTTATGAGGAGGGGCAGCTCCTGCTTTGCTTGGTGTAGGATCATGGGCATGTGGACATGAGTTGAATACTCACTGCTGGTGGTGGGCATAGAGCTTCGATGGGTGAAACCTGCACAGAGAAGGAGGGAGGAGTGTGGGTAAGTTACAAGGAGATGTGGGGGACCAAATAGGGGTCAGGGCTACCCTGGTGCAATGGAAGCAGTTTCATGCAGCAGGGACCATTAAAGATTTCCTATCAGTGCCCTCACATCAGGGAAGAATGCCCTGATGGAATTCATTCCATGATGATGAAGAAACCATGAAGTCCTGGCCAGGTGTG